>NC_000003.12:64858484-65161515 GCF_000001405.40 Homo sapiens
ATCACATAGGCAGCCACGAACAATATGTAAACCAGTGGGTCTGGAAGTGTTCCAATAAAATGTTATTTACAAAAAACAGGTAGTGGGTCAGATTTGGCTGGTTGGCCATAGTTTGCAAACTCTGCCACAAGGCCAGGGGGCTATAGAGGCCAACGAAATAGTCCAAGTCCCATTTAACACACATTGCAGTTAAGGGAGGTGGATAATATATAGCAGACAAATAACAATAAGTTTGGGGAGTACCAAGTACAATGAGGGAAACGTGTATGACTCACGTTAGAATCATTCCTTCATGGGAAGGAATATTCTTCACCATCTTAGGTTGGGTTCCCTGTTCACTCTTATCACATCTTAGTGGGTACTTTTCCCCTGGACTTTCTAAAATATTGAACCACAGTACTCAGACACTCATTGTGGCCATCACTGACCCCTGAATATAAAGAGCATAAGTTGGCAACCACTTCTCTTAATAATTTTTATGGTCCCTTTTTGATTAAAAATTCTATGATGCTCTAAGCCAGACAGTTCAAGATTCAGTTCTTGCATGGTTTATTCACCTTTTCTGTATGTGTTTATGCAGCCTGTGTCATTGTTATGAAAGGATCAAAGACATGGGACCCAATTAAGAAGGGCAGGCATTTCAGCCTGAGGGATGAGAGGGCAAAGGGAGAGTAGGGTAGGGACAATTATCCGGGCAGAAGGCACTGGCATACAGGATAAATCCAAGATAGATCCAAGAGGCTGTGATGCTTTGAAGGGAACTCTGTATGTGGCTATGTGTTATGGGAAAGGCAAGGGCAGAGATGGGGTAGAAGAGTTAAAGCTGGAAAGGCTGAGTGGTAACTATGTACCAATGAGCCTTAAAGCATGTATCCTAAGAACAAGGAAGAACCAGTGAAGAGTTATAAGTAGAAGAAGTACATGATACATTTTACACATTGAAAACATCACTCTGAAGATTGGACAGAGAATGGTTTGGTTTGGGGACAGAGAGGTGAGATAAGACCTTGTACCAATCATCATTAGTATTACTAAAAATTGTATTAAAAGATTGGCATCTTTTTTTTCAAGGTGGGTCATGAAATTAATGTAATGGAGTGTGGCCAGTACTTAAAAAAAGGAAGAAGAAAAAAATAAAAGAGTATAAACATTACAGCATCTGGCACATGTAAGGGGACTGGTTCACGAAAGTCTTATGTAGATTACTGTGAGTATGTAGATTATTGTGTGAGCTCGCGTGGTTGTGTGTGCATTTTTACTGGGTAATGACTTCAAATATATTTCTATATGTTGAGGTCAAAGAAGTTTGCCCAGCATGACTCCAGACCTCAGGAAGCCTTACTAATGCCTGCTACAAGTCACCAGGGGAACCAGGTGTCAGCCATCAACAAAGCAGCACAAATCCATCTCTCTCACTAGAAAAATGGGCTCAAGAGAGCAGGTCCTATTGCTGATACTTAAGAACCTACCAACAAGTTCAAATTAAAAAGATTTGCCTCAAACGACCCAGAAAGGGACTGCTATGAAAAGATGCATTGGTTTAATGTATTTCATGCTTGTCAGTGGCATTTCTGGGCCATCTCTGTGGTGTTAGATATTTGTGGTCTCCTCAACTTCCTGTGGTTCAGTCACTTTTTTGCTTAGCATTTACCATGGGAGCGCAGGGACAAGCCATCTGTACAGGAAACTTCAAAGATGTGTTTTGGTTTACATTCTGTTACAATGAAGTCAATGCAAATTGTTTTTATGTTGTTTTTTTAAAAATTTGTTATTTTACTTGTTTTTGGAAGGGGGATAATAAGGGGAGTGAACAAGGATTGACCATGGTTTATAATATGGTGTGGCCTGACCTTAAAAAAAAAAAAAGAAGTCTAACAGATGTTAATGTTGATTCATTGTTTTCAGCAGGAATCTACATTTTGCCATTTTTCAAATTCTACTTGGATGCAGATTTGTCTTAGCAGAGGAAAATGCTAAATTTCCATTTAGATATATTCGCTTTGCCAGTGGCAAGTTGCCATACTCTTGTCCATTTCTTATTTTTTTCAGAAATAGCACAAACACTTCCTTGAACTTGAGGCTGACCTGAACTTTATTTGATGCCCTTTCAAAGGCCAACTGAGAGGCATTATTCCTCATGGAGAAGGCACTCAACTAGAGTTTAGAGTGAACCAGAAGGAACCTTAGGGTGAATATAATCCAATTCCTGTTAATTTTGCAGATGAGGCAGTTGAGCTTCAGAGAAGCAATGTGACTTGCCCAAGGATACGAGCTCACTGGTGGTAGAGCTGGGCCTAGACACAAACTCAGGACTAGACAAGGCTCTACTCAGTTGGCCTCACTGCCTCTTCAAATGCTTGGCCGCATCTCCTTCAGATGGCAGTTTCATGGAAAACACCGGCCATGCAAATCAGATAAAGGTCAGCATGAATTTGGTTACTGGCAAGAAAATTTCTGAACTGAATTTTGTTACTGGCAAGAAAATTTCTAAACTAATTGATATTGTAGAATTGGACATTTTATTCATTGGTTATTTTTATTATCATAGTAGGAGTCTCCGGACAAAATTGGTAGTTTATTCACGGTACTTACTATTTCAGATAAGGTGGAAGAAAAAGTTGCCTAAGGATAGTTAATGTTTCTTATCTGATATGCAGAATATTTTCCCCTTTGAATTATGATTACTGAAAGTGCATAAATTATATCTGGAGGAAATATTCAGATCATGCACTGGAGTTGGAATCAAGGAGGGAAGTTTTTAATAATTTAGACCAGGGTTCTTAAACTCAGCATTATTGACATTTGGGACCAGACAATTCTTTGTTATGGGGGCTGTCTTGTTATCATAGGATGTTTAACAGCATTCCTAGCGTCTATCTGCCAGAAGCCACTAACACACCCCTAGTTGAAACAACCAAAACTGTCTGTAGACCTTGCCAGATGTCCCTTGGGAAGGTGAAATAGTGTGAGTTGAGATTCACTAATTTAGACAATTTGGGTGTTTAAAATGTAAGGGGATAACTCTTTTATTAAAAGTGAGGGTTCTTATTTTTTCTGATTACAAATGTAATAAATACTTATATTTTTAAAATACGGAAACACATTACTGAAATAATACCAAAATGCCAAGGTATTACTTTGCAATTTGGTATTATTGAAAATGACTGAAAGGTCAGTCTCCACATGTTGTCACACTCAACAAAAGCACAAATCTGACATCCAAAAATCAATGAAAATAAATTTAACTTTCCACCAACATCTCCCTAAGAGATATGGAGACAGGAAATTGTTGTTCATGACCACCGAAATGCCCTCAATTCCCTCTGCACCATCTATTAATTGCTTTCATCACAGCAGACAACAGTTACTCTTTCACAATCTCTCTTCTCCCTCCAACTTGACCCCACATTCCGACCCCTGCTAGCTGTCCTGTCTCCTCTCCCTGCCTATGCTTTAGCACCTATCAACTCATTTCTTCTTCACGTGGTTCTCTGGCCTTCCCAGCTAGATCCCTGTAAACTCTTCTGTTTGGCTGACTTACCCATTACCTAGATCCACACAAGAAAAGACCTGGAATCTCCCTTGGAATGTCCTGAAATGAGGCAAGTTGTCAACCTTTATATAAGACTATTTTTTATCACAGTCATATTATAAAGAAGAAAATAAGAATCAGCGGCAATTCTACTAACAAACCACACAATTAACAATTTAGTAGATACCTAGGTAGGTGGTTTTAGCACATAGAGCTGTAAGAAGGGAATCAAGGTGAAAGTAGGTCGTTTGCCTTCCCCAGGAATGAAGGAAAAATAAGATAATTTGACCTTTGCTTCAAAATCCTTTTTTTTTTTTTTTGAGACAGAGTCTTGCTGTGTTGCCCATGCTGGAGAGTACATATACATGGCTCTCTGCAGCCTCGACCTCTTGAGCTCAAGCAAGCCTCTCCACTCGGCCTCCAGAGTAGCTGAGACTACAGGCACACACCATCACACCTGGCTAATTTTTTAACTTTTGTAGAGACAAGGTCTTGCCATGTTGGCCAGGCTGGTCTCAAACTCTTGGGCTCAAGTGATCCTCCTGCTTTGGCCTCACAAAGTGCTGTAATTACAGGCATGAGCCACTGCGCCTGGCCAACAACATTTTTTTCTATTGAATTATAAGGCTGACTTTAGGATATTTCAGTTTAATAGAATCATCATCATCATTTAAGTATTTACTATGTACCACAGTATAAGCATTTTACAAGAATGTCATAGGTAACTTTCAATACAACTACCAAGACAGGTGCCATTAATAGTTGCAATTGACAGATGAGGAGCTTGAGTCTCTCAACAGTTATGTAAGCTGCCCAAGACCACATAGCTACTAATTTTTACTTGTAAGTGCAAGAAAAATTCCCATACTCAGGAATGTCTGGCCTTACCACCTCCTTTCCCATGTGTCTGTCTTTGAACACCTGGTGTGGCCACGTGAGGAGCATCAAGTTGTCATTTCCACTCATCCTTCATCAAACATACACAGAGAGGTGAAGAAGGGCTGGTCTGATGGGCCATAGAAGACAGTTGGCCCATAGTTTCTACGGTAAGAACCTTTCTAAGTATTCATCCCCATGCATGTCAGCCATGCCTGTGCTAGCTTGGAAGTATCTTCAGGCCATGTTACTCACAGTGTGCTCCACCATCCTGCAGCATCAACATCACCTGAGAACTTGGGAGAAGTGCAGAATCTCAGGCCATACCCCAGACCGATTGAATAGTTCCCGAGATGATTTGAATATAATGGTTCCAATATCTGAAAAGCTGGTCCGAATACAAGGATTCCACATTCCAATAATTCTCAAACTTAAACATATATCAAAATCACTTGAAAGACTTCTGAAAACAGATCGCCGAGTCTCCCTCGTAGGGTTTTGGATTCTGTGTCTGGAGTGGTGCCCAGTCGTTTGCATTTCTAACAAGTTCCCAGGTGGCACGGGGACCACAGTTTGTGAACCATTGCTACAGTCAAATAAATGAGGAAACTCCTAAAAGTTAAACAAAATTAAGCTAGGTGATTTTCTATCAGGTCTTCTCAGAACTTAAATATGCAAATACTGTTTCTCAAATCTTTGGCCCATTGAAACAATTTTTGCCAAAATATCACTATAGATTAGTCTTCCACAAAATGAACCTAGGGGACCATTGGTCTGCAAACAATAGAATCTGGCAATTTTGACTTAAAAAAAAATGCTGAATGTAATAAAATGACCCTTTGGGTTGGGGGAGAGAGAGTCTTGGTTTTGGTGTCAGGTCAACACAGCTGTTGCGTCTTTTAGCAAATGAATAGTACATTTCTCCAAGGGATTTGTACAGACTGAAAATAAATTCTAAATTATTGAGATTCACATAACATAGACCCGGAATGAAAAAGGGACAAAAAATATATCTGCAATGACATTTGAATTGCTGTTTCATCCCCCCTATTGAAATACAAGCCAAGAATAAAACATTGATTAAATAGAGAGCATTGACATTTTACTCCTGTGGTGCTGGATGCCAGCCTAGACAAAGAGCCGGTTAAATTCAAAAGACAAAGAGTCCTTTTGTGAGGCAGTCAGTTCATCTGGGAGAAATATTAAGTGAAGTCTCTAAGGATAGAGTTCTCCAACATCTTTACCTACAACACTCATTGAGAGACAGTGGGTAAAATCACACTCAAAATATATGGGGAAGGAGGTTACAGGCATTTATTAAAGGATTGTTGGGATCCACATAAAACTCAACTTTTGTCTCCACAGAGGCCAATTTATAATAGGAAGTGAAAATCAAAATGGCCAATGAGAGAAAAGCAAGAAAATACATTCTTCCAAGTAAAGAAAACATGAAGTGTCTCTTTTATCACATTATGGGTAGGAGATACAGCAGTGGAGAAGATGGATATTTTCTATACCCTCAAAGATCATACCCTGGAATAAGGGGTACAGGTTCAAAACTAATAAAAGAATAAATCAAGTAAGTGTTATATTTGAAGATAAATAAGGAGAGGAGATGGAGAATAACAGGGTTTGGGTAGATGCTTTTTAGGAAGTGTGCTCAGGAAAAGCTGCTCTGATTTATTTGAGCTGAAAAATAAAGACAGAGAAAAAGTGAGCCATGTAATGTTTGGGTAAAGAGAGTTCTAGAAATCCAAAATACTGTGTGAAAGGACTACATCCGGAAAGAAACGAGGATATTTACAGAACTGAAATGAGACTACATTTATTGAACATTTGCCTTGTACAAGTGATCATGCCGAGTCATTTGTGAGTGTGAGAGTGTGTGGTTGTGTGTGTGTCAGGATGGAGTGTAGGGGGTGTGATGCTGTTCAAGGACTAGTTAGCCTTGGCCTTCTGTTCTGGGCCTTTTTTTTTTTTCCTCTGATTCATTCACTCAGCCCCCAGATGCTACATGATGGTTTCCACCATGTTAATACAGAACGAATAAGCCATTTGGCTGTGTCAGTTCTACATGTAGAGTCATGTATTGTGTTCTAACCATTGGTCTTGCTAAAGGTTTCTTTTCGATCTCCTGCCTGTGGTTAAGAGCTATTCCTTGACATTCAGGCTAAATTCAGTTTTCCACAAACAACTTTAACAAGGTGAAATTGCTCAACAACTTTAAATATTTAATGAGGCTTGTCACTGTCTTCATTGTGGTGCTACAATGAGAGATGAAAGAGGCTTTGGACCAAAATTGGGGCATGATGGCCCAAATCAATTCTCCTTATATATATTATTGTAAAAGAGTGTCAGATAAATGGATACTTTAGGTAGATTTTAAATATAAAGAGATAATTTAAGTATTTATTATGGTACAGGTAAAGATTTTTTATTTTTTATTTTTTGAGACAGGGTCTCACTCTGTCACTGAGGCTGCAGTGCAGTGGCACAATCACAGCTCATTGCAGCTTCAACCTCCCCAGAGTTAGGTGATACTTTCACCTTAGCCTCCCGCGTAGCTGAGACTACAGGTGCATGCCACCACACCCATCTAATTTTTTTGTATTTTTTGTAGAGATAGAGTTTTACTGTGTTGCCTAGGCTGGTCTCAAACTGCTGAGCTCATGCGATCCTCCCTCCTTGGCGTCCCAAAATGCTGGGATTACAGGCATATGAGCCATTGCACCCAACCAGATAAAGACTTCTTAAGCCAATACTTACAAAATAAGTATGCAGGGGCTACAAATATATGTAGAAATGATGTTGGCAAAGAATATTTTAGAAAGTGAGTATGCAGATTATTTTTACATTATTATATTATTATAACTAAAATGAAAATAAAACACATGCAAAGAGACCCCAAAAGCTTGGGGTTAATTATCAAATCCTTTTCCTCAGTCACACAGAGCAGGGCATTTCTTCCTGAACGACAAAAAGGACTGGCAAATGAATTTAAGGAAAGCGAGACAGCTTGCTTTCTAAAGCTCACACTGGTGGAAAGAATGCATTTATCTTTTCCTCTGTGATTTCTAATATTTTAAATCTGAGCATTTGCCTTCTAAGAAGTTCTAATCCCTGATACAGAAACTTTCGCACTGTCATAGCAGAACAGAGGCCATGTGATTGCTTCATCACTCCAAAGTCCCAGATCCTATATTTGCTTTGTGCTTTTAAGTGTCATCAAGTTAATCAAGGCTGGCTGAAATTATTTGAAGACCAGGCAAAAATCTGCTTTGCTTTGCTTTTCTGCAATATGGCCTGATTTTGTAATCATACCCACATGAATCTGGCCTGTGTTGTTAGAAAAATTATCTCCTCATTAAAAACAAATCTTAATAGGCCTAATTTGGAGCCTGCTTTTGTCTGTAACTTGATCAAGAGAGTAATGAGTGTGAACCATGCTAAACAGAGGGAGACTAAAAGGAAGTCAGAAACATTCAACAGTGCAGATTACAGTCACATCAGCATGCTTTTGGTATGCAAATAAAGCACACTGGGCAACAAAATAAAATATAAACGGCTTGCTTCTATTTCTGTTCTTGACACTCTTAGGGCATGTGGGAAAACCTAAGTCTCAGTGAAAGGATTCAGTTTGAGAAACATATAATTGCTCTTTTTGGGGCCTCTCTTTAATTTCCTTAGTTGCAAAATGGGGATAATAATGTCTATAATTATTATAATAGGGTGGTTATATGGATTAAGTTAGTAGATGTAAAGCATTTAGAATAGTGTCTGGGTTTCTAGTCCAGCACATAGTTAATGATAGCACGTACCATAAGGTCTAGCTGTTATTATTGTTTTTGTTATTATTTTTGACTCCCCTCCTCCTGCCACACCGCATTCTATGTGAGCAGGAACACCAGGAGTAGACTCACAGAATTTCAGAACTTTTGAGTATTGCTTCCAGAAATACGTTCCATGAACATCCACTGTTATTTAAGATATTTGTTGTATGAAAAAGGATTTCTCTGATCAATTACTTTTGGGAAATGCTAGGTTTAATAAAATCAAAACCGTTTTTACCATAGGGTCTTTTAGAGGGCAAGGGTTCAGGAAAAGAATTATTTTTTCCTCGTACATCACTAGGCTCTTGGCCAAGACCCCTATGACAAAAGACAGATTAACAAAAGAAAAGCAAATGTATTTAATGTCATATATTTAACATAAACACATTTATATTTGTATTACTATAAATACAGATTTATTCAATATAAATTTTTTGTGACACAGGAGACTTCAGAAATGAAGATGCAAAGACAACAGGGGAAACCATATATGTTTATGGACAGTCATGCCAAAGTATGATTGGAAGACAAAAAGGTATGGTCTGATGGTAATAAATGGGGTGGGGTGTTCTCGGCAAGGCCTGTTTGTTTGGATTTCTTTTTGGCATCCATGTGACTTCCCTTTCCCCTGGGTATAGGGCAGGACACTGTCACAGAGCCTTTAGTGGAGAAGGAAAGAAGAGGGCCAGAGAGTAAACTCCCTTGGATTTATGGCCTGCTTCAGGGAATAAAAGCATCAGGAATTCAAGTTTATGGCCTGCTTGGAAGGGAGGGGAAGAGCTTGGAGAGAAGGTCAGAGAGACCTTCCTGCTTCTGCGGCTTTTTTCCAGTTTCCTTCAGCTTAAACTTCCTGTGTGCTAAGGTACCATCTTTTGGGGTATTATGCTCTGAGCCCTGTCAAGATCCTTTAATATGCAGGCAATATGAATCTCACAGAGGGTGATATTCCATTCAGTCTTTCCTAAATTTATTTGACCACAGAGCTCATTTGTTCTACAATGTCTTATAACCCTTCAAGGAACATCAGTTCTTGAAGAAAATTATGGATGAGGACTCAGTGATGCCCAAAGAGGAGAATGACTTCTAGGCTCTTAGCTAGTTGTGGGCAGAGCCCTGACTTAAGCTTGGGTCTTGTGCTTCCTATCCAGGATGCTTTGCACAAAGTACACAGCTTGCTCTGTGCTGGATTTCTGCAAGAGAGGATCTTGGGTGAAATGAGAAGTAAAGCCTGCAGGTTAAAAACATGGCCCCTGAAGACACATGGGACTTGGGTGTAAGTGCCCACTTCCCACTGTATGATCTCATGCAAGTTATTTCACTATCTGGGGTCTCCTTTTTTCCCCTTTGTGAATGAATATGATGATTACACTTGCCGTGTGAAGTTGTTGACAACTTATAAGAGAAAATACCTGTAAAGCACATACATTAATTATAAGCAATTTATTATTGTTCCTGGCACATAGTGAGTGCTCAAAATATGTTGCCAATTATTGGTCAGTAGTGCTTTGAAAGTGAAGATCCCATGGTAGGGACAGAGATCAGATGACAATTGCTTGTTTGCTGAGAACTTCCTTTGAAGTTTTGTCAGTGGAGGCTGCTCTAGAATGCTCTAAGAGAAAAGGAAGCTCTCTGTATTATTGAACCAGCCCTCAAACAAATCACCTCTTTTATATCACTGTCATCAAGAAAAAAAGACTGCTAATGATTACTGGTCAGGGTAGAAGATTTGGGCCCAGGCTTGAGGTCTTTGGATTCTACTCCAGAAATTTCCAAGACAGGAAGAATCAGAAGAGCCTCTAAACCAATACTTCTCAGTCAGGCTGGGAGTGCTATAGTGGGCCAGGGATCTGGGGCCAATCTGTCTACTTTCTGAAACCAGTCCAAGATCAGGTCAGCATAGACATTGAGAGTCAGCTTTTGGAAACCTTTATAATAATTTGCAGCGTAATTTTATGTCTGTTGGATCCAAATGATAATTTTAAAAATGGGGCTTGTATTTGTATTACCTTTACATTATTTCACTTTTCTAGTAATTTATTTTTCTTGTATTTTACAAAAGCATCAGTTCAGGTCAGATTGAAAAACAAAATAAAACTTGTCCTTTATTTCAGAGAGTTTGAGAATTGATCTAGAAAAACGATTCTCAAAACTATGTCCTGGGCCGGCAGTATCGGCATCACCTGGGAACTGGTTAGAAATGCAGTTCTCATCCCTACCAAGATCTTCTGCATTAGAAATTCTGAGCTAGGTCCCAGCAATCTGTATTTTAACACTTTTCAGGTGATTCTTATGCATACTGAAGTTTTAGTTGTACTGGGACCATCTCCAGGATAAGTGTACCTTCTTCTAAATTTATTAGAACAAGAACAGGTATTATATCCCAAGCTCTGTTGTGCAAAAATAATTTAACACCATTTCTCTAAAACCAAATTAAATTTACTTTGAACTACCATCTATTCAGGTTGGTAGTAATTTCAATCTCATTTATTAATAGAATTAGGTTCAATTACAAGTGATGAAGAACCAAAATAATAGTGGCCTAATCAATAAGCAGACTTTTGAAAAAAAGAAAAAAAAAGAAAAAAAAAAAAAACAGGCAGCAAGGGTTCTCTTGAGGCAAATTCTGTTTTCTGCCATATAACTCAAACCCCATGAGGGAAGAGAACACAGAGCCCTGCCTACCTTCTTTAATAGTAGGAAAACTCAAGGAGGACCCAAAGCAAGTTTCCAAAGTACCATCCTGCTCCATCAACAATGATATTTCATCATCCCCTATGATAATCCTGAGGCCAAATCAATACCTAGAAGGTTTGAAGAGGCCTGCTCTGAATAGCTTGGAGTTTACACATTAGATAGGTTTATTTTCTCCTTCTCTCCTTTAACTATTGTCTACTGAAGTCTTTAAGACTTCCTTCATGGGTTTTGGAACACAAAAGATTTCCTTCTTATCTTCATTGGTCTGTGAAGGATTCTCTCTTCTGTAATAGATTTTTATTTTCTTGGTACATTTTCTTGTAACTGAAATCCTCAAGCTAAAAAAGGTGGATGGAAGCACATTTTGCAAATTCATTCTCATGTCTCTGGCATTGATTCAAATCTCTAATTGAAAAACTAGTTTCCAAGGGGCACTAATTAGGTCTCGAGATTGATGCTTTGTGCAAAGTTTAGACTTTTTCTAGTCTGCCACATTATGTAGTTTCCTTTTTTCATCATCTCTAGTTTGTAGCTAAGGAATTTTATATTTCTATTGGTCTGGGCTATGGGCAACAATTTTTATGCAGTGATTACTTTTATGTAAGTGAAAATGTTGGCACTTTAGAATAAATTTTGACACATTTCCAATATCTACTACTGTATCTAATGAATTATGTAGCATTTTTCTTAATGTGCTTGAGAGCCAATTATATATTTGTTGTATATTCATTTGGTTGTCAAATCTTAAAAAGGAAATATTCAGAATACCAAATTAGATTTACTCCTGTTTATAGTCCCCAGTGTTGTATCTGTCCCATGATATGAATCTCCACCAAATCCCCAGAATACATAAACTTCTGAATTTAGATATACTTGAAGCTGATCTTTCTTCACCCTTATTTACTTTTTTAGCAAATACTTTTAGAAACAAAAACAGGAAAAGGTAGAATCTTATCAAATCAAGTATTATGTCACATTAATTTTATAGTAATAACTTGTTATACAGCATGGATATCAACCTCATTCTTTACTTCCTCTTGCTTTCATGTTCTAATATAGCTTTTCTATCACTTTTCTTGCTTAATTTTAAATAAGAATAAAAGTACTTGCAATTCCATTTAAAAACATCCACTTTTGAATATTTTGGTTCATTTTGTTCTAATCTCAGAGAAAGATATCTTTTTAGAAACACTGCCTTTTAAAATACATCCATATGTATTTTATTTATATCCATATGAATTTTTTTTCCCATTTATAAAGTAACACATACTTGTTATCACAAATTCAAACCAAAGTGTATAAAGAAAAAAGTTGGCTGTGTTTTGTTGCCACATTTTTGGATCTAATTGCCTAAAGATCAGGCAAATTGGCATGGCTTCTGTAACTAGAGGTTAGCTGTTAGTGAAACTTTTTTGCCAAATTACTTGCACAGTGTCACTCCACTAGAGCTCTGGGTCAGTTGGATAGACCATTTTACGAATTTCAAGACAACATCTAAAATATATGTTGTTTTGCAACATCTTCTCCCAGTAAGTAGTGTCAGAACTTGCTCCTCTGGCTTTGATAAAGTGAATTGCAACAGGGAAGCTGAGTCAATTGAGGGTGAGATTTAAAGTTTTATATTTTAATGTTTTTCGGTTTAACAAGATGCAGTGAACACTGTGACAGTAGTGAAATAGAATTTCCTTCAGCAGTCTCTTTGAATGACTCAAACCCCGATATATTTGCTCTTCCCTCCTGAGTGGAGAAAGAATGATGGATTCAGAATAGATAGGGGCCATGACTGCAGAAGATTTTTATTTCTGATTAGACCCTGACAGCCACCTAGCTTGTTTTAGAAATTGAAGGAAAAGAAATTTTTTTTTTGTTTTAAAGATACAGTGAGAGGGAGGGTAAGAATAGCTATATTACTTATGTTTAGCCCCCAAAAGGCGAATATATCACACACTTGATTTCACCCCTCTTCTGCCCTTGACAGACACTGCTAATCAACCAGGTCACATTTCCCACTGAGCTTAAATATAGCCTCAGGATTTTTCTTGGTACAGCCCTCTGGGCAGCTGCTACCAATCTATCTGGGTTGGCTTATGAGATTGATTTACAGAGTGCATTATTTATTCATTTATTCAACATTTATTGAACATCTAAACTGTGCCAGGCATGTTAAAGGCATTCAGCAGCAAGACATGAAACTTAAATTCCAATGAAAATCAAAACTTTTTATTGCCTTTTTTGGTCCTGCACATTTGCTTGGCATGCAGTAGGTGCTCTATATCTATATATCTATCTATATATCTAGCTATATATATATATCTCACATTGCATTTAATTGGTACGTGAAGAACATTCTGGCATCAGCTGACCCAGCTGAGAGGTGAAGAGTGGCTATGGTTCTCCCTCAAATAATAAGAACATTTTTTCCACCTCAGTTCACTTCCTGCTCAGGGTCTATTAAAAACAAATTCATCATCAAGATCAGTTCTCAACTCGGTAGGTTTTGAGGGGCAGGGGGAGATAGCCACAAGAAGAATCAGACACAGAATCTCATCTCATCCCTTAAATCTGACCTCTGAATGTCTTTTAGATTTGCTGATTGGATTCTTGCTAGAACACAATATCAGACTTCATCCTCAAAGGAAATAAATTAAGCTGCTCCACACAAGGACAAATGGTTGACATTGTGCTCTTGCTAACATCTTGTGTGCAGCTGTGAACAGCTGTGTTAGTGCCAGTTAAGCTGTGATAGCATCATTTGGGAAAGAGATAAAGGGCAATTCATTCACAAAGCGCTATTCAAAGGGTCTCACAGGTGTGCTCTAAGGATTGTTTTTCTGCTATCTCTCTTCTATCTAAAATATATACTGACTTAAGGTGATTGGGTAATATAATTCTGACAAAATTACAGGTCACCTCCCTCCAGGAATGGTGTTTTAGGAATATATGCTGTGAAATTCATAAACAAATAGGAAATAGAAAAAAAGCATTTCCCACTTGAAAAGAGGATAAGCATCTGACTCTGAAGTGAGTCTGACCATTTATTCATTCCCTTATGAATAATCCCCAGTTTCCCCCTTCTCTGGTAGAGAGAAGCACAAAATGTGCCAAGAGAGTGGCTCTTTTAGAAAACAGCCTTAACACCCTTATTTGCAATTTTACTCCCCTCCCATCCCACTCCCTCCAGAAAAAAAGAGGCCACCAGCTGTTTGACCACAAATGGTCAGCTCTTTTAGTGAACAAGAACAGGGTCAGCTACTAACTACCAGTGAAGGGGACAAAAATTAGATGAGAAAAGGGATATCTTGTGAAAATAGATTGAAATGGCATTTGGATGTTTGTTTTAAACAGACTTCAGTTTGCCATATGAAGAGGAAATTGCGTGTATGGGATGCCCGCTTGAAAATTTGAGAAAGATAAAGCAGTAACATTAAACGGGATAGAAATTCTAGGTCAATGTTCCCAAATGCTGGCCCTAACCCTCGGCCACATCCCCAGTACTGCTGAGTGAACTTGTTAACGCTATGGGTTCCCTGGTATCACTTTGTGTAGAAACACTGGAAGCAGTGCCTGAGCTTTTCCAATCAATTCCCCAGATAAGGTTAGAGTATACAGCTAGATTTGGGAATTACTGGTAGGTCCCAGGCTAAACAAACAAAAATACAGCAGATCAAATACCTAGAGGAGAAAACTGCAGACAGAACAAGAAAAATGAGATGGAAGGCCTGCCCCTCTGTCTAGAGCCAAACCAACAGGTACAATTTTGTAATCAATAAAGGGTAATTAATTGAAGACTTCTTACATGTCCAATACTGATCCAAATGCTCTCTATTCCTTCAAGCTTTTAATCTTTGAAGCATAAGAAACTTTATGAATGAAGCTTCCTTCACATGGGACACACACACAGTTTAAAGCAGATGGAAGATCACACAGCTGGTAGGTAGCAGAACCAAGCTTCGAACCCAGGCAGTCTAGATCCACAGCCTGTGCTCTCAACCTCTGCCTTTACCTCATCCTGTCTTTCCTGTGCAAACGGAAGGCCCTTGGGAAAATAATATTATTAACAAGTCAGTGCCTTGCCTCAGGGAGCTCACATAAATTCTTAGTATAATGGAGCCAGTGCAGTGTGCAATGTGCAAAGAAAAACTCACAGGTCACTGCAGCATTACAGAGGAGGCCTGACCCAGGATGGGGAGTGGGCTCTCTGGAGGTGGTGATGCCAGATCTGAGATCTTAAAGGATGAGTAAGAGTGAGTCAGAAAAAGATTGGCAGGTGGGAAAGGCATTGTAGGAGGAGCAAAGATAAAATAGTTCCAGGCATCTCTAGGCTTCTCTCAGGAGAAGGGTGAATGGATACAAGGTGGTAAGCATAATAATCTACTCAATTATTGACAGTAATTATTAGTGATTATGGTATAATTGGGACTACTCTTAATAATTATCACAATTGTTTGTAATATTGAGTGAATAGTGATTGTAGTGTTCCACAGCCTATTGCTGGGTAATAAATTATTCCAACACCTAGTGGCATAAAACTATTTTTTATTATACTCTTGGAATTTATGGATAAGAAATTCTGACTACAAAGGTTGGGTGGATTGAGTCTGCTTCTCAGTGTCTGGGGCCTCAGCTGGCATTAACTCGACTAGCTGGGGCAACGAACAATTGCCGTTGGAGTGCTTACTTCCAAGCAGCATGGTCTATCATCCTGGTGGCAATGATTGGAAGACTGGACTAAGATGGGACTCTTGACCAGAGGTCCTCCATGTGCCTTCCTCAGCATGGTGGCACTGGGGAAGTGGAACTTCTTTCAAGGTAGAACAGTGCTTCTAGCAGGCAAGGTGGAGGCTGATGTCGTTGCGACCTAGCTTTGGAAGACAAACTGTCATCTCCACCACAGGCTGTTGTTACAGCACTCATAAGGACTTCCAGATTCAAGGGGAGGAGACATAGCTTCAATTTGCAATGGGAAGAACACCAAAGAGTCTGGAGTCAAGTTTTAAAATTATCACATATGATTAGGATGTATGGAGTGCTTCCTATGTGCTGGGCACTCTGCATCTATGCTTAACCAGAGATACTCACTGAAAGCTCATCGCAACAGTAGGAAATATGTGCTATGATCACCGCAGTTTATAGATAAGGGATCACAGGGATGGGGGTATATGTAACTTATCCAAGGTCCCCAGTAAGTGCCCAACTTTGGAATTCAACCCAGATCTGTAGGCTTAAAAGCTTAACCGTAACCTGTATTACTGGGTATTCTTTGTAACTCAGCCCCGACTCCTGACCCAATGTGTATAGTAGGCTCATTGTGAGTGTTTGTGAAAAGAAAGAAAGTCTCAGCAACTATATATCTAAGGGGACCCAAATAGGGACTTTGGTGGGAGGCAATATAATGCTTGGCAACTCCCATATTCTCTTTTGCTCTTGGCAGACATGAAATCCTTAGGAACCAACTTGGGCTGTGCGGACTTTGGGCTTGATCTTTACATGTCTCATATAATTGCTCAAATAATTCTTTCTATGGTGGCCTCATCCCCAGAGACCTTGTGCCAGGATCCTGGAATTAGGGACAACTACAATTTGGTAAATACTTCTGAATCAAAGTTCTCTGAGATTCAGGAAAAATGAACACAAGTTGGGAGCATTATTTTCCAGGATTATAGAAAAATGTATTAATATTTTCACTGCTTTTTGTGGCTTATTCCAATCAGAAGAGTCATCAGTAGCATTTAAACCCAAATTAATTTTGTTTCCATTTATCCACTCATCCAACATTTATTTTTTCACTCATCTTAGTGTGTTTCAGGCACTGTGCTGAATCATGAAGACACCATGGTGAATAAAACAGACATTGTCTCCTCCCTCACAGAGCTTATACTCCAGTGAGAGAGACAGAGAGAAACTAAGTAGATAACTCCACAAATACATAATTGCTAATTCTCGAAAGTGCTACCAAGGAAACTAATAAGGAGATAAAATAACAAAAGGGCAGAGGGTGAGGTTGGAAGTCTCTAGAGGGGTGATAGTTAAGCTGAAACTCAAAGGAAGAGAAGAAAAGAAAGGCCATGACCCTATTTATTTTTATTCTGATTTCTTCTTTGGTCCCAACTTTTTTTGAGTTCAAACCCTGTATTCCATAGGAAATTATGCTCAAAGAGCATTAGAACATTGAGGCCAGAAGAATCTAACTGGTCCTTATTCTCGTATCAAGTTTGTGTGCCCAGACTCGTTATAGACTGAGCCCTTTGCCTGACAAAGGTAAGTCTTGAGATGTAAGGATTGACCTTATTCCCCAGCAGCAGAGACCTGAGTCCAGCCCCAACTGCCAGCCTCGAAATGCTCAGTCGTTGGTATGCCCACCAAGATCCTTTCATCCTCGTGCAAACAGTGTTGATGGGCCATTCTGCCTGTCTTCCAGAGACACCTTCAAACTGCAGAAGTGGGCTAGGCCTTCAGGCTAGAAGCCATTGAAAGATGGGCTTCCAGGCCTGGCGCAGTGGCTCACGCCTGTAATCCCAGCACTTTGGGAGACTGAGGCAGGCAGATCACAAGGTCAGGAGATTGAGACCGTCCTGGCCAACATAGTGAAACCCCGTCTCTACTAAAATACAAAAAATTAGCCGGCGTGGTGGCGCACACCTATAGTCACAGTTACTCGGGAGGCTGAGGCAGGGGAATTGCTTGAACCCAGGAGGCAGAGGTTACAGTGAGCTGAGATTGCACCACTGCACTCCAGCCTGGTGACAGAGAAAGACTCTATCTCAAAAAAAAAAAAAAAAAAAAAGGTGAGCTTCCAAAAAGCTCACACAAATGTTGCTTTTTAAAATCAAAGCATATTTATATTTACCAAGGTACTGACATTTAAGGAAATCTGGCCTTGTTGGGATGGGGGGCAAGCTAATAATTACCCCTTTATTTATTTTTTAAAGTTTAGATACTCATTGACCTAATGAAGAAGGTCTCTAGGATTTGAGCTGTTGACAACTGTGGCAGTTGCAGGAGGTGACACGGGGGACTCAGCAGCACTGGAGACCTTGGGTTGGTGCATTTTAATAGTCTGTGGAATATCAAAACATGCAGTTATTATTTGAGACCATTCTTTGGAAATTGTTTCATTCATGTGTATATGTACATAGAATATAAATATGTAACAGCATAATTAGTATGCATACATGGACTTATTTAAATTTTAAAATAGCAGCTAATAACTTATTGCATACCTACTAATCTCAGTTCTTAGAACAACCTAATAAAATGGTTATGATTATAACATTGTATAGGTGAGGAAGTAATAATATATCAAATAACACTTTTATTGTCCAGCAGAATACCCACTGGATATATGGGGCTATTTCAATTTAAGTTATTTAAAATTAAATAAATTTATAGTTCTTCAGTCACACTAGCCACATTTCAAGTGTCTAGTAGAGCATTTCCATCATCACAGAAAGTTCTGGTAGACAGTGCTCTGTCTACCAGAACTCTAGTTTCTCAGCTCTGGCACTAGACATTTTGGGCTGGCTGATTGTTTGCTACAGGGACTTATCCTGTGCATTCCTTGTACGGTGTTTAGCAGCCACTACTCATAGTCACCGGTAGCACCTTCCTCCACTTGTGGCAACCAAAAATGTCTCCAGACAGTGCAAAGTGTCCCCTAGAAAGAGAGAGCAAAATCATCCCTGGCTGAGAACCAATGTTCTAGATTCAGCCTAAGGGTTATGAGCTGACTGGGAACTCCAGGAAGGTGCTTTAAATACTTTGAGTTTAACTTTTCCCATTGGTAAAAGAAACTTAAAAAAATAGAATATATTTTCATGAAATTTTCTGAGGGTTAAATACTGTAGGTTAAGAATTTAGTAGATAATAAAAGTGGATTAAAGGAATTTTTGGACTCAAATGTCCTTACTCTGCCCTTAAACCGATGTCTAGATGAGCTGATGTGGCAACTGGAAGCCTGGAAATCAAGATTTCTGCTTGCTCTTCTATTACCCTATCCATGAACTTGGGTTTCCATGTTTAGATAGCTCAAGGTCTGGAGACAATGACAAATTTGACTTTTTAAGACAACAAACCCTGGGGACTTAGAAACTGTTTAGAAACAAACAAGACTCTAACTTAAAACAGAAAGTCATCATTCTGCTTCATTGCCCAGGTTTTGTCGGAGTGACCTTGAGAGTGTACGCAATGATGAGGCAAGCAATTAATAAGGGAGGATTTTAAATGTCTCTATAAAAATAGGATCAAAAACTTAGATCAATTATAATGAAAATAATTAAAACACATTAATTTGGACAACTGTCAGTAAACTATTGGACGTTTCTATCTCAACTGTCTAAATAAGCATTTGGCCCTATTACACTCAGACTACTAGTTAGAAAGTTAGAAGGATAAGTAAATTAGTAGTTTTAAAATTGGTACCTACCATTGCTTTAAAAAAAACAAACAAATATAGTGGTTTGTTGGGCTTTCAAGGGAAACCATAATCAACTTATTCTTGTCCTTGATATTTTCCTTGGTTTGTAGGATGGAGTTGAATGTAACTTTCTGAGTATAAAATCATCAGTAGATTGGACTATGTGAACTAATCTTTGAAATTTTTTTAAACCTATTATAAAGGAAATTCCGTAAGATTTAAAACTAATGCATTGAGCAGAGGAGTAAAATAGTTCATTTCTTCAATTTCTGTTTCAATGATTGATACCTGAGAAGTCACCTGTCTATTAGAAACAGAGTTCAAGTTCACCATTTACATAATAACCTGGTCATTCACCATGCGTTTACAATGTATCAGGCCCCAGGTAAAGAATTAAGTATTACATCATTCATCTCATCTAAACTTCCTAACAGTATGAAGGGGGAATTATTTCCTTTCATTTTGAAGATGCGAAAAAGGCTGAGAGTTTGGATAACCTGATAATAAGGGGTATAGCCAAGTTTCAGACTCAGGTCTGCAAAATGTCAAAGCTTTTGGTCACTTGCCCAGATGCAGGTGAGCTGCAGATCAGTGGTGAAGAAGATATTTCTTCTGACATGTAAATCCACACCTAGCTCTCCTCCACACCAGTATCTCTGCTTGCTGCATTTGAACAAGGGACATAGTGTTATCTGTGTCCTTTGGCCTTGTTGATTCATTAAGCTGGATTATGAATGAGTCATTCTTCACAGCCTTGCTAAACAAAATATATATTTTTAATATGACGAGTCAGCCAGTATCTCTGGATATTTTCTAGGTTACTTGTTCATCAGAGAAAAATTCTGAGTAGCCATTTAAAAAAAGGAAACAGGTTCTACGGAAATCAATCAAACCAGTCCAACACCACCAGCCCCCACCCCAAAAAAGAAAAATATTCAAAATGGTCTCAAAGAAAGAACTCACTAATTTAGAGTTATTGAAGGGAGAGATAATTCTGAATTAATAAAATATTTTAATTAAAATATGAGTTAAAAAAAGAAAGTCATTATCTTTGTGATACTTGATGAATGAATGAATCAATCAAACTGGAGTGCAGAAAATATAAAATGATATCAACTGGGCAAAAATAGAATCTTGTGGAGAACTCACTGGGCCTAGTTTGATGAACAGATGAGGGATTTTTGAATACAGTTTTTCATTTACTTACAGGTCAAGGGGCTACTATAGTTTCAGGGGAAAAAACTATTCCTATAAGCTGGTGGACATTACCCTTGCAATCTTTTTATGCTGTACTTTTCTTAACTAACTCTTTAAGACGCAGAGGTAATGAACTCCTCAGACTCTACCAAATAATAAGAAATGATGAATTGTTGGGACTGGAATTCATGAAGTCTTCTTATATAGTCAAATGTTTACAGCAGCACAATTCACAATTGAAAAAATATGGAACCAGCCTAACTGCCCATCAACCAATGAGTGGATAAAGAAAATGTGGACATATGTGGACATATATAGACACACATGTCATATGTACGTATATACTATGGAATATTGCTCAGTCACAAAGAGGAATGAAATAATGGCATTTGCAGCAACCTGGTTGGAACCAGAGACCATTATTCCTTTTGTTTTTTTTTTTTGAGATGGAGTCTCGCTTTGTCACACAAGCTGCAGTGCAGTGGCACAATCTCAGCTCACTGCAATCTTCACCTTGTGGGTTCAAGCAATTTGGAGACCATTATTCTAAGTGAAGTAACTCAGGAATGGAAACCCAAACATCGTATGTTCACTTTCATAAAAGAGAGCTAACCTGTGAGGATGCACACACATAAGAATGACATAATGGACTTAGGGGGAAGGGTGGGAGGGGGGTCGGGGATAAAAGACTATACATTGGGTGCAGTGTACACTGTTTGGGTGATAGGTACACCAAAATCTCAGAAATCATCACTAAAGAACTTAGCCACGTAACCAAACACCACCTGTTCGCCAAAAACTATTGAAATAATAATAATAAAATATAACTTTATAAAGGACAACCAAGTATGGTTACTTCTATTTGAACTAGTCACATTTTGTTCCACCAGATTTATCACTTTTCTCATACTAATAACATGGGAAACTAAATTCTAATTTGATGTGCTGGTATTTATTTTTGCCTTGGTAAAACATTTAGTCCTATCTCCAATGTCTGTCTAAAAGAAATAGACATCTAACTAATACAAAACAGGCAGACTAGCTTTATTAGTCTGTTCTCACACTGCTAATAAAGACATGCCTGAGACTAATTTATTTATAATTTATAAAGGAAATTTATAAAGGAATTTATAAAGGAAAGAGGTTTAATTGACTCACAGCTCAGCATGGCTGGGGAGGCCTCAGGAAACTTACAATCATGGCAGAAAGGGAAGCAAACACGTCGTTTTTCACATGGTGGCAGGAAGGGGAAGAATGAGTGCCCAGCGAAGGGAGAAGCCCCTCATAAAACCATCAGATCTCAAGAGAACTCACTATCATGAGAACAGGATGGGGGAAACGGCCCCCATGATTCAATTATCTCCACCTGGTCCCTCCCACAATACATGGGGATTATGGGAACTGCAATTCAAGATGAGATCTCGGTGAGGACACAGCCAAACCATATCACTAGCTAATGAATAATAAATAATCTTGGAGGAAAGAAAAAAAACACGGAAATTAATTTGAATGTGTTAGATATCTATTGCTGATAACAAACTTTTTCAAATCTTAGGGGCTTAAAAGAACACACATAAACTATTTCACACTTTATGTGGGTCAGGGATCTGAAAGGACTTAGTTTGGTGATTCTGGCTCAGGGTCTTCTCATGAGGCTGCAATCAAGGTATCAGCCAGATAACAGTCATATAAGGCATGACACAGGCAGAAGAAGCTGCTTCAAATCTCATTCATAGGCCTGTTGGTCTGAAGCTTCAGTTAGACACCATGTGGGCATCCAGGGCACTATTCATAACACAGAAGCTGGCTTCCCCAAGAGTGTGTGATTTAAGAAACAGAGGGAGAGGGAGAGGGACAAGGATAATTCAATATGGATGCCACAGTCTTTTTATAACCTAATTTTGGAAGTGACATCCCATCTGTATGAGTCTGTTCTAACATTGCTATAAAGAAATGCCTGAGACTGGGTAATTTTTAAAGAAAAACTGTTTAATTGGCTTGTGGTTATGCAGGAAGCACAGTTATACAGGAAGCATGGCTCAAGGAGATTTAGAGGCTTAATTGGCTCATGGTTCTGCAGGAAGCACAGTTGTACAGGAAGCATGGCTCAAGGAGATTTTACTCATGGCAGAAGGCAAAGTGGGAGCAGGCATCTTCACATAGCCAGAGCAGAAGGAAGAAACAGAGGTCAGAGATACTTACACACTCATAAAAACCAGATCTAGTAAGAACTCACTGTCACCATGGCAGTACCAAGGGGGATGGTGCTAACCATGAGAAACCACCCCCATGATCCACTCGCCTCCCACCAGGCCCCAACTCCAGCACTGGATATGAGATTTTGGTGGGGACACAGAGCCCAAACATACCACCATCAGTTCCGCAAAATTGTGTGTTAGAAGCCAGTCAGTAAGTCTGGCCCATGCGCAAGGAGAAGGAAAGGATTAAACAAGGTCATGAATGCCGAAAGGAAAAAAATCACTGAGGATATCTTAGAGGCTGCCTACCACCAATGAGTTTTTTTTTTAATAACGCTGATAGCTACATGCTATAGATTATCCAGAAGTAGTCATCTCTGCAAAGCATGTCCTGGGGACACTAGAGGAAAAGTAAAACAAAGAGTAAATGTTTCTAAACCATGTTTTGGTGCTTGGATTTTTTCCCTGTGAATTTTCCCCCTAAGCCATTTAAGGAAAAAAGACTTTATTCACATATATGACAACCATTCACCCAGAGCTGGCCATCCACAGGAGCAGAAATATTGTTCACTTCCATGGTATAGCTTGAGAAGAGTCAGAGAACCTCTCCTTTCAGAGCATCTTCTAAAAGAAGCTCTGTGATGATCTTTGGGGTATAAGACATTCTCAAGAGAAGAAACACCATCCCTAAGGGGCAAAAATTGGCTCATGGGGGCAAAAAGTCCTTACTCTTACGGCGTGATGATGAAAAGAAGATGGATAAAAACTGGTGTAGAACAAGCCAGTAAAGAGAGTTCTAAGGCAAGGAAGGCTTTGAGGAGGGAGGGACTGGGAGTCAGATTCAGCTCTGGTTGAACACGGAGAGACGGAATTTGGAAGAGTATAAATGGACTGTCCCAGACATGTGTTGGGCTGGAGTTTTACTTCTCAATCTGATGTTACCTAATTTCTACCTTTTAGGGATTCCTCACAGTTTATGGCCCATGGAGAGTTCCTTTCTAGTTTTGTAGTGCACCTGTGTACAAACTCATTTCAAACATGTTTGCTGGCATTTCTGGAAGATTTGAGGTTGGTGGAAGAGGTTGTAGCTTGTGTTTAGTTTGCTACCTTGGAATGAAAAATGTTTATTACAGAGCCAGGGAAAATGGCTCTATTTTCTCCTATTCCTCCTTCCTCCCACTCCTTCTGAATAGAGGTAGAATCTGCAATTTGCGGTCAGGAAGAAAAAAGGACTAGAAAATAGGCACGGGGTGTGTGGAATAGAGTTAAGGAAAGTGAAGTAGCAACGAAACTTGCACCATCAGCCACTCTATGAGAGTCTGGTCCTAACACTCATGGTGTATCTACATTTGCGTTTTCTCATTTTTTAAATGGAGGGTTTGTATAAAATGGTACTTAAGTTTGACTCTAGCTTCAACAATATATAATCCCATAAAATACCATATCTATCTTCAAATATAGCTGTTAGAATTGTATGTCTTTGGGTTAGGGCTTTGATTCTCCTCTTGCAATTCAAATACTCAGCAGACTAGTAAAAGTTTAGCTGTTAACCTATAATTGTCACCTTTATGTGAACTGCGTATATTCACAACATACAGAGAAAAGACTCCAAGTCTCAGGACTCTTAATGGATTCAGTATAAGAGTCAAGAATCAAGTCCTTGTGGGCCCTAGTCTAGGACTTGGAAGACCCTGAAGACATTTAGCCCAAATCATCATTTTACCTAAAGTCAGCCTATTACATTGAATCTCATGAAATTCTCATTTTTGTAGATGAGAACTTGTTGAATTTGGCAATGTTACGTAGTCAAAACTAGAGTTTAGCCAGTAGATCAATGTCCTTTAATGAGAAGCATTTTTTTATTAAATAACATTTTTATCTATTTTAGGACATTTATTAAATAATTGCCACTGATTATATTTTATCATCTTCTAAATGCAAGGTGTAACTGAATTCGAAAGTGACAACACAAGAATAGGTGTCTATTTATAATGAATTAGTGTGAAAAACAGAAAGTTATTATTTTTCCGTTTGAAAGAAAGGTTGTTCATTAATAAATACAGTCAGTCCACTTGCAGTTTTAAGACTCTGCTCTTTCCACTTTTTCCTTGTACAGTTTGTAACAATTTCTAGTGGAAATGGCCCAAAAAATAAGAAACTCTAGCTTACTGATCATGCAGAAAGCCATGGAGGCAGGAGTAGAAGGAGTGATGGTGTATGGACTCTTCTGTTTCAGCCTAGTTTTACTAGGTCTACTCTGAGATTCTGTGGAAATCTATAGCAGATTCCATTTCTAAACTAGCAAATGAGTAAACTATACATGGAAGCTGAGGCTTAAAGGGAGAGAAGGAAGAAGAAGAAGGAGGAGAAGGAGAAGAATTAGGAGAATTGGAAGGAAATGGAGGAGAATTAGAAGAAGTGAGAACATTCAAAGAACTTTGAGAAGAAGAGGAATTGGAAACAGAAGAAGAACTGGGGGAGAAAGAGGGAAAGAAGTGAAGAGAATTGTAGAGGGAAAACAAGTGGAAGAGGAGGAGGAGAATGAGAAGGAAGAGAGCACTCATGGTTTCTAATACATGATCACTGGCTTGGCCACTATAAGAGAAGAAGAAGAAAGTAAACATTGTTTCTTTAATCATGACTTTATTCCCCACCTCCTTCCAAAAGAACTTATAGTGACTAGGACAGCAAAGGAGCAGGAACATTCTAGAACTGCTTTGAGAGAGAGTTTATAACTTTAACTTCTTTTTCTTGTTCTTCTTCCAGTGCCATACAGTGGCCCAGACAACCTGAATTAGCAAATTGAGAGTAAAACAGACAAACAAACAAAAAAGCGACAGGCATTCTCTGGAATTGCTTTTTCATCCTTTACAGCCTACCCTTTGGGTATTGCTGGATTTCTGTGAATTTTGACCTTTCTGGCAATCAACATGAATAGGCCATATTCTGAAAACATACTGGAAATGTTGTGTGACATGTGGATTAGGCTGTGTTGACAAATAGTGTGGTCTGTCAGATATTCCACAAAACACTGCCACCTGTAGAAAATAAACCCCTCAGTGGCTGTGTCTCAGCTCCTGGCATACGTGGGACTGTCTCATATCACTTTCCATCACTTCTCATATGTATCAGAGGCCTTACATATCACTTTTCAAGTCGTTTCCTTATTTACATATCACCGTGGTCAAAAATTCCCAGGACAACATAATCAGCTATCTTAACCAAGCCAATAAACAAGTCCAGTAAATAAATAAATAATCCCTCTCTATATTCCCTCCTCAAGGTCTTTCTCCCAGAACTGTCTTCTCTTCACAAGCAAACTCTAAGGCTGAAGATATTATTTGTACACACTCTGGTTCATTGGCAGTATATATTTTCAATCTGCCAAAAAATGTGAAAAGGAAGCATGCTGAATTTAGCTTCCCCCAGAATTGAATTCAACTGGATGTCAAACTTCTAGTAGGACTTGTAAAAGTTCCACTGTTGTTGGCATCTGCAGGGAGAGCAAAGAGACAGCTGTAAAAAGCATCTTCTCGCCAAAACGTGATTTGGGAAAGGTCATTTTATTACATGATTTATTTATATTGTTTCTCCATGGTACACAACGTTCTGATGGGGATGCAGAGCATTCTGATGTGGACACAGAGCCTGGAAAAGGAGGAGAGGTGTTTAAAGAAATCCTCAAAGCCTGCAACTCAGAGGCACCATATGGGCCAAGGAGATGTTTGATGTATATTCTGAAGGCTGTTTTAAGCCTCCAACAGGCTGCAGCTTTTCTGTATCAATCAAATCAAAAAGGAAGTTCTATCATGATAAGATCGATCTCCTCCACTGTCCTCTGAGACTTCATCAGTAAGAAACACGATTAGAAGTAGGTCTTGCTTCTATAGTCAGCAAAAACAATCAAGACCTTCTTCCCCTTTCAGAAATGAAAAAAAAAAAAGTCAGCGTAATCAAATTTCTAATGGTTTATCTTCTTTACACGGTATGTTGTCATTTTAAAGGGCTTACATTTTCTCTTCTGGATTTCTTTTCCCAAAAAGGCATGTGTTGGTGACATTCTAAACAGACCTACAATATTTAATAAGGAAAGTTGAATATCTTTTTAAATAAAAGCAGATGGGCAGTTTTGTTTATCTTCACTTGGCTCTATCACTGTTTCCTAAACATGAGGGTGGGATTTTTTTTTTTTTTTTTTTTTTTTTTAGTTTTCAATAATTAAAAGAATTAAAAATATTTATTTAAAAAATGCACACACATACACACACACCACCATTTCTCTTATTCTATTATTATTTTTTATTATACTTTAATAATGTGCACAACGTGCAGGTTTTTTACATATGTATACATGGGCCATGTTGGTATGCTGCACCCATTAACTTGTCATTTACATTAGGTATTTCTCCTAATGCTATCCTTCCCTGCTCCCCCAACCCCAAGACAGGCCCTGGTGTGTGATGTTCCCCACCCCGTGTCCAAGTGTTCTCATTGTTCAGTTCCCACCTATGAGTGAGAATATGCAGCGTTTTGTTTTCTGTCCTTGCGATAGTTTGCTCAGAATGATGGTTTCCAGCTTCATCCATGTCCCTAAAAAGGACATGAACTTATCCTTTTTTATGGCTGCATAGTATTCCATGGTGTATATATGCCACATTTTCTTAATCCAGTCTATCATTGATGGACATTTGGGTTGGTTCCAAGTCTTTGCTATTGTGAATAGTGCCGCAAGAAACATACCTGTGCATGGGTCTTCATAGCAGCTTGATTTATAATCCTTTGGGTATATACCCAGCAATGGGATTGCTGGGTCAAATGGGATTTCTAGTTCTAGATCTTTGAGGAATCACCACACTGTCTTCCACAATGGTTGAACTAGTTTACAGTCGTGGGTGGGATTTTTAATATCAAGTTTGTAATGGTGACTAGTAGGATTTACTGGATAAATACTTCTTTGACCATAAATTTTGTTTAACCTCTCCCTGATGTACAGTCCAAGCTAAATGTTGCTGGGTTTTGTTTTTTGTTTAACCATTGTTTTCTGTTAGTTTACTGTTAGTATGTCTCAGACATGGAGGTCAGGTGATTGAATACAAGAACCAAATAGAGTTTTTATTCTTGCCCTTAGATGATAGCCAGTGTTGAGACTTTGTTAAACCTCTTGTTTCACTTAGTTGAAAGTACTTTATACAAAAAAAGCAAGAGGAGCCAAATCTGTTGAGAAAGTAGAAAATATGACTTGGCTTCTAATGGTTCCCCTCAGCCCAAACAGTCACAGGCATCTCTCATTTTTGTTTCTACAAATGTTTATATAGGTAGCAACTATCAGTATCCTCTTGCTCATAGTAAGTTATTTGATGGTGCAGACTCTATCACCGTATCTTCAAAAGTGGCTGACTAGGGAATGCACACAGTATGAATCGTATTCTCTGATAATGTCTGTGGATATATTTGACTGATTTGCCTCTTAGATGATGAAGTCTGATGTCTCCATGGAAATTCCATTTGAGAGAGATTTAAAAATTAAACATCATGAATATTAAGCAGTGCTGCCTGGAAGTTCAGCTCCAAGTGACTTAATCACTTTGTCTGCAGTTTTCCTTAAAGAAGCCATTGTTTGAACTAGGAAGGCATTTGTTTTTCTAAATAGAAAAAATTAAAAGCTAAATATCAATACTGTGTGAAACAATCCCTTGACATGTTGAATTGTAATGTTCTTAAAAAAAATTCACCCTACCAAGGCCACCTTTAGAAAACAAGATTATTTCTTAGTGGCATCTCTCTGCTTTCAGGAACATTGCATTAGAGTTTCCAAAGAATGCATGGCCCATGCAGGTTGATTTGCATTAAGTCCATTTTGCTGGCCGGGCGCGGTGGCTCAAGCCTGTAATCCCAGCACTTTGGGAGGCCAAGACGGGCGGCTCACGAGGTCAGGAGATCAAGACCACCCTGGCTAACACGGTGAAACCCTGTCTCTACTAAAAATACAAAAAAAATTAGCCGGGCGTGGTGGCAGGCACCTGTAGTCCCAGCTACTCGGGAGGCTGAGGCAGGAGAATGGCATGAACTTGGGAGGCGGAGCGTGCAGTGAGCTGAGATTGTGCCACTGCACTCCAGCCTGGGCGACAGAGCGAGACTCCGTCTCAAAACAAAAAAAACGTCCATTTTGCTGTTCTTGGCGCTTTGTCAGAAAAGAGAATCATAGGTCATAAAAAATCCCATTCAAAATTAGGAAGACCATTCCAATAATTGGGATAAAAATAACAATGTAGTAGGGGCAAAGATACTAAGAAAAATTATCCCAAACTTGGAAATAAAGCAAAAAGATTACTGTGAGCCCCTTCAAAGTGATATTACTAACTATGCTAATTAGCCCACCTAAACAGATACAAAACAAACACCATAATAGACAATCTGAAAGGCTAGTGAAAAAAATATTTGGATTACTGAATATTTTCATACTTTGTAACACAAGTAAGACAGAAAAATCTCAAAGGCTAATGAAAAAATTATTTGGATTACTGAATATTCACACACTTTGTAAATATTAAGAGAGTAAGAGAGTCAAAACCAGGACCAGTACTAGAAGCTGTGAGTTGCCTATTTCATTAGCCAGACCACCTTTAATTGAGTTCCTTGTGGTAATTCAATAACTAGGCCACATTGGATCAAGTCCAAAGCCAGGAGGTCTTGTACCAATTTCTGCCCTATGGTAGATAGTGAGGCTTCCCACCTATAATCTAAGCATAGTATATCAGTTAGTTAGAATACAATTAACTAAAGACATCGCTAGCTAATAGTGAGGCTTCCCACCTATAATCTAAGCATAATATGTTAATTTAGCTAATGCAATTAACTAAAGACATCGCTAGCTAATAAACATGTAAAAGCAATAACATTACGTGTATTTAGCATTTTAGAGTTTGGAAGTAATTTCTCACAAGTCTTAGTACCCCAACTTTGGAAGGGAGGCACTATTACCTTCATTTTATAAATAAGGATGAAGATGCCTGGGGAGGTCAAGAATTACTTGGTCTATAAAGTTCAAAGCTGGGAATGGAACTCAAGTCTTTTGTGAGTTGTAAGCAAGGCTGTGTGGTCAAACACAGCTACAGTTTAGTTATGATTTCAACACTTACTGGTTGAGTAACCTTGGTAAGTCAGTTCACTTTTCTGAACTCAGTTTCTTCATCTTTAATAAAGGGAAAACACTATTACTAAGTCAGTGTTGATTTTTAAAAAGCATTAAAATAGATCATTCACTTAAAACACTTATCACATTGTCTGGCTCACAGTAAGCACTCAATAAATCTTAGCTGTATACGAAAAGAAAATGAAATGACAGTACAAAGTTGATTTCAAAAGATTCCCTCAACATATTCAAGGGGAGATACTGAAACTACTTAATGTAGTTCAATGCCCAATTCCCAAAAAGATAAATTATATTAAGAACGCAAGTGAAAATTAGTATGGTATATGATGTTACATAGAAATATACAGTTCATCATGTTTACTCTGATTAATAAGGCAGGAAGGTGAATGAACATATCAGAAAGCTTCTGAACAACAGCATTGGGGCAATAAACTTATTTCTAGTTAGTCTTCAGTTAGCCTGAAAATCAGTAGACATTTTGGTTTATATATGTTACATATGTTTCTACAGTTTTTTTTAAGAACAGGGGCTTAAAAATAATTAAAAGAGTGAAATTTCAAGATTATTTGAGAGCAACCAGGATTCCCTTTTCTGGAGCCTCTACTAGTAGTGATTCACAGTAACATTTACTTGACCTTCCAGTAAAGGCTTCAGTTTATTTAGGGAAATGAGAAAGACGGGAACATTAAAGAAATCATAGAGTCACAGAGGCTGCCAGGGTTGGCAAAATGATTCCAAACTCAGCAGCCTTGTGCCTTAAGCCCCTTTCAAAAAACAGGCTCCTGGCAAATCCAGGGCAGACCACCAAGCTATTTGCAGGCAAGTTTTACAGCGCAAAGCAGGCCAAACTTAACTGTTAGAACCATGATGCTCAAGTGGCATTGAAAAGGCGGTACTGAAAGGAGTCCTTAGGAGCTAGCAGTGATGGGCTTTTAATTTAGGGAAGGTAAGAATGCACTGATACAGCTGGAAACACAGTAGCAGTACATTTTCCTAAGATAAAATTCACCTATGTCACTTTCTGAGTAAGACATAACAGGGACCAGCAGAGGATTCTCAATTTTGTTTTCTTTTTAAATTATTTTTATTTTTTTTGAGACAGGGTCTTGCTCTGTCACCCAGGCTGGAGTGTAGTGGTGCAATCACAGGCTCACTGCAGCCCCAACTTCCTGGGCTCAAGCCATTCTCCCACCTCAGTCTCCCGAGTAGCTGGGACCACAGGTGTGTGCCACCATGCCTGGCTAATTTTTTTTTTTTTTTTCATTTTTCTTAGAGACAAGGTCTCACTATGTTGCCTAGCCTGATCTTGAACTTCTGGGCTCAAGCGATTCTCCTGCCTTGGCCTCTCAAAGTGCTGGGATTACATTCATAAGCCACCATGCTCAGCCTTTTTTATTTTTTAAAATCTTCATCATTTTATAAATAGTTCCTCAAAACAAATCAACAAAAATCCCTCTTGCATTGCCTTATTATAAAGACAATGTATTTCCTTCCTTTTTTTAAAAAAAAAAAAGTTTACATGAGCCTATTTCCTTAAAAAAGATCTTTTTGGGAACTTCATTGATAAGCAATGAAAACCCAGTGACCTATTTATCCTGGAATCTCATTACCAGAAGCCCTTTCCAGCCATTACTAATATTAATATTATTAAACGTCAACATTTCAGAACAGTTTATTCTGGGTTGTCTGCGATGGAGAAAGGGATGAGAACCATTTTCAAGGGCTTTTCTCGTGACATTTGCTCCTCTGCTCCCGGAGAGAACACGTCAGCTCCCTCCATCCACAGCTGCACATGCGTCTGCTCTGATTGCAGTACCCGGGGAATGCGTCCTCAGCCCTCAGAGGGACCACCAGTGTTATCTCAGACCTGGCAACGAGCCACCAGCGGGCAACAGTTTTTAAACAGATTGGTTCCTTCCTGGTCCTCACAGCAAAGAAAAATAAGGGTTGATTGAAGAAACTGTAGGAGAACAAAAGGTGTCAGGAAAAGGCCCCTAAACTTGGAAATCAGGCAGAAAGATTACTGTGAGCCTTTCAAAGTCATACTAACTATTCTAACAAGCCACATAAGGGTCATATGACTCTCTCAGGCTGCGCTGTTCTTTATGGTAGCCACTAGTCATTTGTGGCTCTTTAAACCTGAATTAATCAAAATTAAATAAAATTAATTTAGTTCCTCAGTCATTCTAGCCACACATCAAGGGCTCAATGCCTACATGAAGCTGGTGGCTATCACATTAGGAAGCACAGCTAGAGAACATTTCCGTCATTGCAGAAAGTTCTGTTGGACAGCTGCTCTAAAGGAAGGGAAGGTTCCCTTAAAATTGACTATTAATTACAGCTCAGACTCTGTAAAGTTAGACTTTAACTGGTTGAAGGCTGTTAATTGCAAATGACTTTTGTTCTCTAGAGATGTAAATCACTTTTATCCAGAAGGAAAGATAGCCCTACAGGTTACTCTTTTTCTTTTTCTTTTTTTGCCTTAAAGGAAATTAACCAATTTTGCATCTAAATTTGCAACCTTGTTCCAGGATTTTTAACTGACTAAATATATATCAGTTTTTTATATCTTCCTTTAAACCAGCTTTGTCATCATGCTGTGTCCTCTCTTCCTTGCTACTGAGTTAAAGAAATCCTTGACATGTGCTCACCATATATGTGAGAGGATCATGTTTCTAACTTTTTAAAAATTATACTCTGACAAAGGGATTGAACAGATGCACCTGGTAGGAATTTGATTTAAATAGGTTCTAAATTCAATATTGGGCAGATTGTTCTCTTGGCAAAATTTATATAAGTGCTTCTTGGCTTTTCCAACAACTCAGCAGTATGGCACAGAGATTGAGTCCAGACTTTGAAAAGCTGGGTCAAGGTCCACAGAGGCTACTGTCAGGATGATACACAAGAAAGTAGTAGAAACAAACTAAAAGAGAAAGAGTGGAGGGGGGTGGAAACTTTTCTTTCTCTTTTTTTTTTTTTTTTTTTTTTTTTTTTTTTTCCGAGATGGAGTTTCACTCTTGTTGCCCAGGCTGGAGCGCAATGGTGTGATCTCAGCTCACTGCAACCTCTGCCTCCCGGGTTCAAGTGATTCTCCAGCCTCAGCCTCCCAACTAGCTGGGATTACAGGCATGCGCCTTCATGGCTGGCTAATTTTGTATTTTTAGTAGAGACCGGGTTTCTCCATGTTGGTCAGGCTGGTCTGGAACTCCCGACCTCAGGTGATCTGCCCGCCTCGGCCTCCCAAAGTGCTGGGATTACAGGCGTGAGCCACCACGCCCTGCATCTATTTTGTATAATACTATATAGCTTCATTTTTTAAAGTAATGAGCCCACAGAAATACATAAAGTAAAAATAAAAGTTGCATATACAGAGAGGCAACTTAGTATTGTGACTAAGAAGATTTTGACAACACACATAACACGATTAAAGTCAACACTCTACCACTTACTAGCTGTGGGATCTTAAGTTATCTGATTTCTTTGAACCTCAGTTTCCTCATCTATAAAATAAAAATCATAACAACTAGATTATAGGGCAGTTGTGATGACGAAATTAGATAATGTCTGGCACATAGTAAGGACTGGATCAATACCAGTTATTCTTGTTATCACTTCAGGAAACCTAGAATTCCATAAAGTAATTCATTGAAAAGGCAACATCTAACATCTCCCATCTGATTTTGAAAATTCATAAGAATTTTGCATTCTCCTCCACGCTTTCATTTTAATTTGTACATAATTTCCTCCCAAATGCATCCAGTAAAGATGTGCCATATTTATATTGACTTTACCTATTCTTAAGCCCAGGGTATCATCAGAAGTACACATACCCTAGACAGGAAAGTATGGCATCCGTGATAGATGTTAGGTTATAGGTTCAATTTTTCTGAAATGAAACTTATTTTAGTTGACTTTGAAGAATCAAGAACATCAAATAAGATACAGAGAAACATATACATACCAGTACCAGTAACACCACCACCACCACCACTACCGAAACAATGACCAGACACTACCTAAAACTTAGCAGAATTTGCCATTTTGAAAAATTATTGCTGGTAAAGGGAAAGAGGAAAGAAAAAGAATTTCAAGAGAAAGTGAAAGAGGCTAGGATGGGGGCAGAGGAGTTGTTTTCTCTGCCTTCTAGAATACATAATTTAAAGCAATTTGACTGTTAGTATATAGAAGATCCCAGAGAAGGGAAGTTCATAAGCAAATGCCTCTCCAAAGAACCCAAAGCAGCCCTGAGAGATTCTCTAGGAGAATCCCTCTCCCAGGCCCAGCCCCCAAGGGGCATATAACCAAGGTTCTGCTGCTTTGCCGATGGTAGTGTGGAGATACCATTATGTGTGCCTGTAGATTTCTCAAGAAGTTAGGATAGGAGGAGAAACCAGCAAATAGTAAATCTTTTAGTCCCATATACTTGTCACTGACTCCCATTACTCAGAAGGAAGTCCAAGCTCAACAGGTCTGACGAGTCCCACCTGGATTCTGGCATTCAAATGTCATAAGTGCTCTACCTTGTTCTCTCTGGACTCTGGCATTCAAATGATGTCATAAGTGCTCTCCATCTTTTCAGCAGACCCTCCTCCTGGCAGGGAATGCTTGCATTGGACATAGTTAGCTACCACACAGAAAGAGCTCACCCTCTACCTGTGTCTATGCAGCCATATCCATCCAGCACAGGACACTGATTGGCTCATCTTGAAACGCACCCCTAACAATGAGCCAATCACCACAGTCATGGGAATCAAATACTTTCATTGGCTAGTCTGGGTCACATGACCACCCCTGGGGCCAATAGTTGAAATCAAGCACATCTGAACCAAAGGAACTGACCATGATTTCCACAGTATGAAGGAGGAATTGTGCCCCTAAAAGATGCCGGGCAGTCTTGGTTCCGAAGAGAATGGAAAAAACTATTATGTATGAATGTACATAACAGCATTAGTCACAATAGCCAAAAGGTAAAACAATGCAAATGTCCATCAATTGATGAATTATGGCATATTTATACAATGGAATATTGTTCAACCATTAAAAGGAATGAAGTACTGAATCTATAACATGCTTGAACCTTGAAAACATTATGCTATATGAAAGTAGCCAGTCACAAGAGGCTACGTATTCTTTGTCCACTTATATGAAATGTTAGACTAGGCTAATGCATAGAAACAGGAAATAGTGATTGCGAGGGGCTTGGAGGAGAGGGAATGAAGAGTAATGGTTAATGGGTATGGAGCTGCTTTTTGGGATGATGAAAACGTTCTAGAATTCAATAGTGGTGACAGTTGCACAATTCGGTGAATATTCTAAAAACCACTGAACCTGTATTTAAAAGGGTAAATTTTAGGGCATGTGAATTATATCTTATCTCAATAAAGCAAAAATACCATTGCTCCAACACTAATGTCTTCACCAGGTGAAGTGGTGGGGCTGAATAGTGCTGGCATTACCACTAGATGGAATGAGAGCTAATGGTAAATTCGTAGCAAGTATTAAGTGAAAGAATTTTTGCTAAAATAGTCCTCTCGTTCACATTTACCCAGTCCCCTTAAAGGATCCTTTAGTATTACTTTTATTTTATTAGTCTCCATACTATATTACTCAAAAGAGTATTACCATATTACTGAAGAGTCCTTCCCTTGGACATAAACAGTCTTTGGCTGTCAGTGCCCTTTAAATGGTTTCTGCTCCCTGTAGCCCATTATTTTAAGAAACTTGTTCAGCCTCTACTTCCTGAGATTCTTCCCATACATTGCTTAGCATACTGCGTGGGAACATGGCAGGCACTCAGTAACTGTTAACTCCCAGTGCTATTATTACTGATCCAACTCTGGGGTCATCATAAAGAGGCCAATTCCTAGTATTGCTTAGGCTTCTTGGAAAAAAGCCAGTTGAGTGTTTTTTTGGATCCCGGCAGTCAACAGGATGCATCACTACCCCGTAAGTTCGTTGAAGCAGTCATTTTTTAATGAATGGAGGTAAGGGTGTGGCTTAGGAAACACACAGGAGGTAGCGAGGCACCCAGAGACTGACAAACCTAAGCAGTCATGAGCATCCCTTGGGCTGAAGATAGGGGAGGAAGTATTGTTTCAGAATTTGAGGAAGGAAGGCAGAAATCCTCCAACTTGTCTCTCCCACCTTCTCATTTCCTTGTCAGGGTTGTTTTCTAGCTGAACTCAACTTGAAGCTAGCTGGCCAAGGAGAGCGTGAGATGCAGTCTACAGGTGTCAGCCTCCCAGGGCAAGAGATAGGTGAACCATTACTCTAGAGAGAGAGAGAGAGAATAACTATGTTTTAAAAACCTGGAGTCAAATATATGGTTAATTACCCATTCACTCCTGGTGGTTGAAATTCTCTTTAAATAGGAGGCCTGTCATGGTTCTGAGTTCTGGCAACCTCCTTCCCTTCATTAGTAAATGCTGCCATTAAAACAACAACCTAAGCAAGTTGGAGAATAGGCAAAGGCAACTTGAGCTACTTAATTTCAAAACTCCAGCTTTTTGAACAGCACTAAAGTCTGTTTCTCATAGAAGGCAAATTAGTTAATTTCAAATGTGGTCTGTGAATATCAACAGACCACCCAAATGTTTACATATTTTATACCGTCCTTCTAGTGGGTTTCAAAAAAATAATTTAAAACCCAGCTAGTTTGAGAGAAAAAGGGGGCACTCATGCATATAAATTGTCTGCATTAAGGGCCAGTTCCATATTAAAACAACATTAATTATTCATTTAGTGAAGGAGAAAAATTTACCTATCATAGAAAAACCCCTAGGGTGATATTGTTTTCCACAACCTGCTTGCAAGCCCAGTAACATCCCAAATGCCCCTCTAATTCAACCTCTCCCTGGAAATGAGAAAAGGCTGTGGAAAGAAAAACAACTGAGCACTTTATTGCTACATCGTGTCTTAGAGGTTGATGTATTCAAGTTCTCTCAAACCCGGAGGTCAGATCCAGAATTCCAGAGCTGAAGGACTGTGCATGGAAAAAAAAAAAAAAAATCCCTTGCCTCTGGCTCTTTAATAAAGTCAAAACTTTAGGGAAAGTCAGCAGGGTCTGTTTCAGGGCTGGGATTTCGGGTCCTGGCAGAAAAGGACCCCCTGAGGAGGTGTCTAACACCTGGCTGAGTTTCCAAGTCCCCTCTTCCCCACTCCCCAGTGACTTTCTGGAAACAGAACAATCGTTGTCCAAACTCAACTCACAGTAGTCCACCAAGAGAAAAGTCTATTGCCAACTGGAATGCTTTAGATTTTCAACAGCAGATTGAGGGCATGTCCTAGGGACCCGAGGAAGAAGAGTTTGCAAAGAATACATTTTTATTTGCTAGAAAACAACCACCTTGTTCACTGAATCATAACAAAGTCAGGGATCTGAATTTTTCTACCCTACTGAAAAAAAACTGCCTTTGCCACTCCCTTCAAAATACTGTGGAATCATAGCAGTGGCCTTAAGGGATGTTCATTGTTGTTCTGGTTTTGATGAACTGGAAAGTTTGATGTGGAGCCTATTTTCAGAAATCTTATGTGTAAACTTGACATTGCTAAGGGTGCAGGGTTGTTAAAATTTTGAGAATAGCAGCTACCTACCGGGAGTCACCAAAGAAGCCTTGGGGAGGTCCAGCAACCTACAAAGACCCTCCCTGTCACCTGTTGGCATGGACTGAATCTCAGCCTTTAGAGGTTATTTATTTGGATCTTTCAACTTTGTTTTTTAAGAAACTCATACTCTAATGCAACCACCACTAAGAAAGCACACTTTTGGAACTGCTGGATCCTTGGCAGTTTGGGGAAAGGTGGTAGAGGGCAGTAGAGTGTTGACATGGCTTGAAAAGAGGGTATGGAAAGAGTGCTAAAAATACTTTTACCTACTTTATAATTTTTGTGAAGATTTATCACTGTAGCCCTAATTTCTTTCAAAAGAGAGAGGCTTAAGGTTAGAAGATCCCACTTATAATTGTGTAGCCTTTGTCAAGTCTCTTAAAGTTCCTAAGCCTCAGTTTCACCATCAGTAAAATGGGGCAATAATACATTATTAATTTTGTGAGGATTACATGAGATAATTTATAGGAAGTTACTAACATGGTACTTAGGACATGGTAGGTGTTCAGTAAATGTAATATGGTGGTGATGATGATGATTCCATCTGCTCCCTACAAATAGATAAACAAGGAAGAACATTTAAATGTGTACAGAAAAGGGGAAAAATAAGGAAGAAGCAGATGGCTGGAACATTTCAATGGCAGCTGGCTCTCTGTTTCACTACTTCTGTCCCTTGCTGGGAATAGGGAGGCTTAATAAAGGAACCCTCATTGCTTTCTGTACAGCTGATTGGATTTGGAGGAGAGAGGGAAACACAGGGGAAACCATAAATAGATGCAGCTGTCTGAGTCCTCAGGTCTGTCCTTGGGAGAATATTTATTTAGCTCCAAGGAAACAGTTTTATTTGGCAAAGTATGATTTTAAAATTTCTTGCATCTGAATGCTAACATTTCCTCTCTCCAACTAACTGCTTAGTAACTTTAATAATGTGGCCCTATAGATAGCCTTTTCTGTAGCTACTAGTCTATCTAAAATTTAACTTGCTTGATATGGGCCTATCTCAGACTACATTGCATCATGTAGTGATGAGATGGGGTAGAAGTAGGAAAGAGAGTGGAAAACAGAACAAAAATACTATTAATAGATTTAAGGTCAAATTGAGCATGTGGGTTTAACGATAATCCTAACTTTCTCATCAGCAGGGTTTGCAATGGAAGGAAACTTGTGTGGATAAGTGTTTAGTCCTCATAAAGAAGATTCAAAAGCCATTCCACTATTTTTAAGTAATGGAAATAATTTCACAAGCACAGAGCTGTGAAAATTTTAAAAAATGTATTCTTAACTATTACTATTTTTCTATGTTTATCTAATGGCTTGATTTTTCTGGTGGCATGCTTAGCATCTTTAAAGAGAAAACTTGTTTCATTAAGTTAGTAATGTATGTTTCTGATGGACATGTGTGCGACCATCTAGGGAGAAAGGAAGGAAAGAGGAGAAACTGGTGTAGAACTGAGCTCTGAGGTTCACCAAACTGCCATCTCTGCAGTTACCAATGGGGCACTAGGGTTTTCTAGATTTTCTGCCATTTTCATTTAGTCAATTTCTAGCTGTAGGAACACACCTGTCTTTCAAGCTCAATGCAGCACTTTGTCAATTGGCCCCTAATGCAACACTCTGGGGCCACCACGTCTCAAAGATGGTCTGAAATGGGCTGTAGGACTTCAACTCCAAGGTGTGATACTGGGCCATGGACTGCCTCATATCTGTCTACCTGTGAATGTTGTCTCAAGATCTACTTTACAGGTTCCTCTCCACCCAAATCTAAATGAAGGTATCCTTGGTTCCTCTTACTCTTAGCATTTTGCCAGACAGGTTAGAAATCCTTTTAGGCTTATCTAGGATTCCAACGTACATGGATCTTCAGGGCTACCAATGGCCACATGCGTATCTCCTGGGAATGGAAATTCCTATAAACCCTCTGTATACAAACACTAGTAACTTTCTGGCCAACAACCCCACTTGGTTAGCTGCTATTAATGTTAGTGTTACTCTCCATCCTTCCTCCCAATTCTGGTAATAAGTACAAAACCAGGTAAAATATCTTCTTAGAAGTTTGAGGTTGCTTTTAGATAGGGAGACTAATTTACTTCTATTGTCTCAGCATTATTTCTTTTTAACATTTACATTTTTTTTGTACCTAATAGGTGTACATATTTGGGGGATACATGTGATATTTTGTACATTCATGTAATGTGTAAAGATTGCATTAGGGTAATTAGGATGTCTACCGTATTTATCTTTTCTTTACCAGCATTATGAATATAACCCCTTTCATCCCTAAAATTGTTGCAATTTCAATGATAAAGTATAAGATCACATGTTTCAGTTTAGGTAAAATTATGCTGCTAGAATAAAGAGACCCCTAAAAACACTGGCTTAAATAATATGGATATTTATTTCTTATGTAGAGTCCTGAGATGAAGTGTCATCCAAGTTGGGAGGGTCTCTTTTCCACAAGATCCTCCAGGAGCCAGAGTTCCCTCCATACTGTTATTCCGCCATCTCCTAAGTGGCTGGGTTTGTCTGCATGTTTAAGTCTGGGTCCTATGACCCAGCTCACAGGAAGAGGGAGAGGAAGTTGGTTACAGCTCACAGGAAGGGGGAGAGGAAGTATGAAGGAGAGTATGTCTACAGGTTGAAGGCCCAGAATCCAAAACCACACATATAGTTTCTGCCCCCATTTCTACTGGCAAGAACCCAGTTACATAGCCATGCAGAGGGCCTTTTTCTAAGTTCTTTGCAAAGCAAAGCATGGGGCAAATACTTCTGTGCTATTTTATTAGGGAATACCATGCCAAGAAGCAGAAGTGAGTAAAAAATTGAATGTGCAAGGAAGGAACAAGATCAAACAGGAGGGTGCATCACTGAGTTAGCTGACTCTTGGTATCAAGTGAGATCAATTGTTCTTGTGGGACCATGTCTTCTGAGAGGTCATGTATATGGTTGGAGAATCTATTCATTGGTTTTCATTTCCTATTGGTAAAAGGTTCAGAGACATTAAATCCCCTGAAGTTTCAAGTTGCACATCTTTTCTTCCTTGCTTTCTTCCTTCTATTCATCCACCCAACATATCCAACACAGTTCTTTAATGTACAGTTCTATGAGTAAGGAAAAATGCATACAGTTGTGTAACTACCATCATAATTAAGATAAGGAAAAGTTCCATCATCTCAAAAAATTCCTTTTTGCTCATTATTAGTCAGCCACATAAACAACCATTCGTCTCTCTTCTGTTCCTATGTTTTACCTTTGTAGGAATGTCACATAAATGGAATCCCACTGTATGTAGACTTAACATAATATATTGATGTTCATCCATGTTGTTGAATGTGTCAATTTTTTTATTGTTTAGTAGTATCTGTAGAATGGATATAGCACAGTTCAATGGTCCCTTCATTAGATGAAAGACATTTGGCTTTCATTTGGTATTCTTAGGAATAAGGTGCTTTAAATATTCACTGTTTAAAATATTACTGTTTCTGTATGAACAGGTTTTCATTTGTCTTGTAAATCTCGCAACATACTTGTGAGGTAGATATTAATATCTCTATAATACAGATGAAAAAATTGGGTCTCATGGAAGTTAAATAACTGACCCAGTGTTACAGAGCTAGTTGAGTGTTGAAAACTGGATTTCAAGCCATGTGTCAAGCCCATGGTCTTGGAGAAAAAGACACATAAACAAATGGTTATATTACTAAGAACAAAGGTGATATATATATATACACATATATATATATATACATATATATATACATATATATACATATACATATATATATACATATATATATATATATACACACACACACACACATATATATATATATATATATATATATAGTGCCAAACAAAACCATGGAATCTAAGAAAAGTGTGCCTAACCCTTTTCCTTCAGGCAATCATGGAAGTCTCCAGGTTAGATCTAAAATTCTGGGTCTCAAAGCGTGAGTAGGTGTCCTTTAAGGAGACAGATGGTAGAAGGGCTATATAACATAGGTATCCCAGTGACTTAGTTTTGTTGCCTCCTGCCTCCCAAGCACCTGGAACAGTATTCTACATATAGTAGGCATTCAATAAATATTTCTCAAATGAATGAATGCATTTTCACCAAAGGGCACAGCCTATGTAAGTGCAGGTCACTTGGTTCACATTAAATCCCCTTCCCTGATACATGGCCTCTCCTTCAGATGTTAGAGAAATTATTCAGTTGCTATTCATGGAAGCCTATGCAGAAATTATGACATGATTTTTAAATTTCCAGTTGTCCAATGGCCACACCCTCCATCCTAAGCCCTGGGATTCAAGAGTCTTTATCTCTAACAAGCCCTATTCGACAAGCCAGGCCTTGGCCTCTGTGAACCACCACGAAGTGCAGACAAACAAAAGGGAGATGTGAAACTTTGGAGGCAGGCTTATCTATCAGGGCTCTGCCAACTCCGTGCATGTCATAGATTCTGTTCCTTGTCTCTAAGGCACCTGCCCAAGTTCTTGCCAAAGAAGGCTAGAGCCCATGGAGTGGCAGGTCCCAGGAGACAGAAAAGGAAAAGGCAAGCTATTATTCAAGAAGCTCTCTTGAAAGGTGGGGTCTTAGTAGCTACGCTGGGGTGTCAGAAAGGCAGGTGGACTACCTTCTGTCCTTTATGTTTCCTTACTCTAAATGTAGCACTCGCTATTGTAGAAATTTCACAAACACTATAAAACATAAGAGTCTAAAATTATCTTTATTCCAACATTGAAAGGGTAGTTCTTAACATATTAGAATTCATACTTTTATGTTTAGAGGCATACACAGGCACACAGACACATACAACAGAATGATCCCTGTGGCCTACTTTTCCACATAATCAAGGATCAGGAACATTTTGCATATCATTAACTATGAGTCAACCAGCTCATTTTAAATAGCTGCATTTTGTTTGAAAACTGGTTTAAACAATTATGAGGATACACTTACCTTTAAGTCATTTATTGTTTTTTGGGAAAAAAATCCTCATATGGTGGCTTTGGTGTGGGTTTTGGGTTTGAGTCTTACCTTCTGGCATTTTCAGTCTGCATAACTTTGAGCAAGGGACTTAAGTATGTTGCCTCAGCAGTAAAAGAGTACGATAATAATACCTAACTCATATGTCTCTTGCAAGGATCCAATGACATGATTCACATGAAATACTTGGCATGACACCCAACACACAGAAAGCCCTCTATACACATTAGCTATGATTAGTAAAAAAAAGAAAAAGAAAGTGCAAACAATACAGAAAAACATAAAATTTAAAAACCACCTACAATTTTCCCAACCAGAGATGACTGATGTTAACTGTGTCATATTACACGTGTGCTCCGGAAACCAATATATTGCAGGCATCTTTTCATCCCAAGTAAGTGCTCTATAGTCTCTATCATTGTTTAAAAATAACTGTAGAGCATTCCATTGATGCAAATATGCCAGGATGTATTATTGACAAAGAAGAAAATAAAGTTAAGTCCAATAGAGCACACGTCCTGAATTATAAGCCTGGCCAAATCCTCATTGTGCACATTTCTAACACCAGCTAAGAATAATCTTGCTGCAAACTCAAGCTCTGCAGAGTCAGGAAGGATCTGAGAGCAGTGTTCCAATTTCCAAATCGGAGCTGACCTTGATTGTTCTAGGACATCACCCTTCACCTGCATACTATGCTATTGGCACTCAGAAGAATTAAAATGGGAAACAGTCAAGTTGTCCTGGTTGCTCCTGCTGATTCAGCAAGCAGGGGACTCCTCCAGAGAATTCATGGTGGTTTGGCAGCCTGGGGTTCAGGCTCTGCTGAGGTTCCAGCCTCCTGGGGGCCAGATGAGGGGCAGACTTGTTTATACTGCATCCCAGACCAAACAGCTGGGGAAACTGCAACCCCTTTAATTTTGCCCTGCTGCCTTAAAGAGGAATTTGATTATACTACACAAGGAAGAAGTTTCTTTTTCTCATTCCTTCTCTCTCCTTTCTTTCTTCCTTTGACTTTTTTTCCTTTTCCTCATTCTCTCCCTGACTTGTTTTTTTTTTTTTTTTAACCCCCTCCTCTTCTTTTCTCTCTCTTTTCCTCTTTTATTCCTTCCACCTTCCATAACAAATAATTTTGGGAGAACGTTTTAAAAAGAGAGAAATCCTTTATTTTTAGAGCCAGAAAGATTTTTTTCCTTTGGCCAAAGATTTGTTTGCAGCTGAAAGAACTAGTGAAATAAATGGGCCAAAGGCCTCTTTCTTATTCAGGCAAAATGTCCATGGAAAGTACTGAAAAGGCCAAACCTCACGGTGACCTTAGAGATTATATTTTTGGAAGAAAAAGATTGGAGTTTGTTTTCTACCCCTGCCCTGACCAGGCCGACTTCCAGCACTCTGACCCAGCCCCTCCAGTTGGGAAGTCCATTCCTTTAATCAAAGGAAATGGAGTGGAATTCAAGAGATGGACAGATCATCTCCTAGCTGTATGTCATGTGCCAATCTGACAAATATCAGTTCTACATTCTCTTCCAAGGCATTAATCAACATATTCCATGGGATGAAGATCTGTGGTCTTCAATTAGAGCCCTCAGTTCAATCCCTATTTATTTATTAGAAAGGCAAAAAGGGTAGTGTAGTTAAATGCATGAATCCTAACTCTTTTATTTACATGCTTTGGGTCTTCAAGAATATGACTCAGTCTCTTCAAGCCTCCATTTATCCATCTACAAAGGTAGGAATAACAATGGCACCCATCTGGCAAGGTGGTGTATGCAAAAGGCTTAGTGCAGTACCTGGCTCAGGCAGTTTGCAGTCATTGGTAGTAATTATTAATAATTCAGTTAGCTGTGAATCCAACTCATCAAATTATGATCTAGCCCATGCTTTCCAAAAGGAAAAGCACATATCTGTTTATCAAATGCTCTTGCTGGAATTCAAGTGCATGCTGTCTGGAATATTTTATTGATCTATCAAAAATAAACTACTAAAAGAGGAAATAAAGTTATCCCAGGATGACTTGAACCTCTGCACGCTCCCATCCATCTCTGGCTGAACTCATTTTCCTAAATGTTCATAAAATGTATATAATAACAAGATTATGAATGCTAGATACACTGCCTTATAGTTTCTAGAATCCACATTTTTCTCATGTTTGAAAACTGGAATAACATATTCCTGTCTCCAATTCCCTGGCCTTGCTCCCAGTCTCTGATTTCTCTAAGATTGCTGACAGTGGTTTTGTAATCACATCTGCAAGTTCTTTCTGTATTCTAGAATGTAATCCAACTTGAACTCATTAAATGTCTAGTTCTTCTTTTATTATCTCTTGTGCTATCTTGAGCTTTCATTCTCTCTTTAAAAACACGTGTCTTTGTATATATAAAAGTAATACATATGCATGGCTAAACATTTCAAAAATATGGTTAAGCAAAATGAAGAGGTAGAAAGTCATTAGTAATCCTAGCATGCTGAGATAATAGTGCTTCCTGATTTGCGATAAAACCTTCTAGTATTTTTCTTTGTAAAAATAGATACACAGGCTGTTGGATAAATAAAGCATGAACATATTTCCATATAATTAGTTCTTTTTTTCTACAACCATATTTTTAGTGTTAGCATACGATTTCAGTGTAATAATGTGAGATAATTTTTACTGAGCTCAGCCCCTTTGGTTGAGCATTTTGGCTTTTTGGCTATGAGCTGTATTATTAGTGTTACAGTCACTACTTTGATAAAAGAAGTAGGCGTTCAGTAAATAGTTGTTGATATCCTTAAGTAAGGAGGCTCCAGAGGCATGACAATGTTGACTTCACAAGTAGAGACACTCTACCTTGATGCCTCTTGTTCTCATGCTAGATGGCTGACCTCAGGCAAGTCACTCCACTCTTCAGGGACACAGTTTTCCTTTTGAGAATTCTCTCCTGGTAAGGAGTGGGGGTGACAGATAGTGGCTTCCAGAATGGACTCTTGTAAAGGTTAAGTGCAACAATGAATATAGATGCTTGCAGCATAGTGCTTGGCTCTTAGGAAGGACCCAATAAATGATAGCTATTCTTACTAATATTATTTTTGTTATAAGTTTTTATATGGTCCAAGGTCTATGTACTTTGAAAGTAAAGATGTTGTTGGAGGTCAATGAGTCCCTTAATTCAGGGATTTACATTTTGAGCTCAATGCAAAGTGCGTGGAATCTGATAGCACACTGTAGATAATATTAATATGAAGACTCATGCAGAGGCACTCACATAATATGTATAATTAACTCTGCTATAACAAGATATATGCATTTGTAAAAATCATCATGCTAGGCAAAGCACCACAGGTATCATGAGAGATGGGGTATGGCAGTGGTTCTCAACCACTCACAATCCTCCATGACTTTCTCTCTCTCCTCAGGCTATATTTGGCAATGTCTATAATCACTTTGGGGTGCTACACTGGGGAGTAGAGGAATCAGGGCTACTAGCATCTAGTGGATAGATGCCGGCCAGGGTGGTTGCTAAACATCCTACAATGCACAGGACAGCCCCACCCCGCTCCTCCAGCAAAGAATTATCCAGCCGAAAATATCAGCATTGCTGAGGTTGAGAGACCCTAGGTTTGAGGGCACAAAACTCAAAAACTTGTCAATGACACATCAAAAAACAAAACAGGCCGGGTGCGGTGGCTCACGCCTGTAATCCCAGCGCTTCGGGAGGCCGAGGTGGGCAGATCACGAAGTCAGGAGATCGAGACCGTCCTGGCTAACACGGTGAAAACCTGTCTCTACTGAAAAAAAATACAAAAAATTAGTCGGGCGTGGTTGCAGGAGCCTATAGTCCCAGCTACTCGGGAGGATGAGGCAGGAGAATGGCGTGAACCCGGGAGGCGGAGCTTGCAGTGAGCCAAGATCGCGCCACTGCACTCCAGCCTGGACGACAGAGTGAGACGGATAAATAAATAAATAAATAAATAAATAACAAAACAAATAGGAATTAACAACAACAACAAAAAATGGTAGCACAGTTTAACCCATGTTAAATGGTTAAGACATGCATAGATACAATAAATATTGCACTTTTCCTTGTCAAAGACTTGGAATCTGCCTGTGGAAGTCAAAGTGGAAAGGGTTGCTGCTTTTGAGCTATTGTGAAGTGGTGGGAGGGGGTTATGTAGAATCAGAAAGAAAGTTGCAGCACCGGATGTGCATGGTGTGGCTCATGACAACGTGGTGGACTGAGATAGATGACAGATGGTGGAGGTGTATGCATTTTGTGTATTCCTATCAGGTGCAGTTCAGCTGGGTACAGTTTTCTGCATTCATCTAGTGTTTCTAGGGGATGAAATTGTGTATAAGCAAACGTGAAATCCAGTTATGTTCAAATTGTTCCCTAATATATCAATACCGTTGGAACAAATTCATGATTTCAAAACAAGTCTTATAGCAGAACTGACTTTACGTACTTAATTGCACTGAATGGACTGGACGAAAACTGTAATCTACAGCACCAGTGATTCTTAAAAGTATAGCAGACGTTATTAGCAAAGAGATTTTTAACCCATAGAAATTACCAAACAGAAATGTTTTAGGGAAATAAGTAGGGCCCCCTTTACACAAACTCTTTCACATGCCACTGTCACAAGACTTTTCCATGACCTGGCAAGTGGCTCATACTATTAATAACAAAGTCTACTTAAAATCTTGTATAATGCTGAAACAGTTAAGGGCAAATTATATGATACGTAACATTTGCTTCAAAATAATCTGGGTTTGGACAGTACGTGGGAGGTGCTAATAGGAAACAAGATTGGCCATGAGTTGAATGAAATTAGGAAATGAAAACATAAGGCTTGGTTATCATCTTCTCCCTACTTTTGAATAATAAATAGAAAAAGAAGAGTAATCCATTTAAAAATCATGTATAAGCAGTGGATTTGCAAGCAGGTTCGTATAAATACTGATTTTAAAATAGAGATGCCATTTTTGAACGTACGGTTTGTGTGTTGCCACTGTAATGAAATATCATGCTAAAGACATGGGCTGGGCTGAAAGTATTTAAAGCATGCTTACTTTCTTCAGGTTCCAAAAGATGGGCTATGCTGAGTAGAGCATGATGTTTAACAAAGGCAGTTGTCAAAGGCAAAAAATTAACATTCAAGTCACGGTCAGTGACAAGACAAAATACTTGGAGTGGAGTTTCACCGAGCTGAGAATATAAGAAGCCCTAACAGGGGAGGTGAGACTGAGTCAGGACGTATGTTGATTCTCTCCGTGGGAAACTTGACTAAGCAGAGAATCCCTGGTTATGAGCATGGATGAGCGTTAGAGCTTGACCTTGCCAGGGAGGCCTGGTTTCACTAAGTGGCCTTGGGCACTAATCTAATCACTGTGAGAAATTTTATTTCCCTTCAGGTTTGTGAAAACTGGATTCTCCTTGTAATGAAAAAAAAGTGAGATGTAAAGAAACAACAAAATGGATGCTTGTGATAATAAAGACATAAATTGGAATAAACTCGCAAAAACTCCTAAGTGATTTTGAGTCGCTCTATGGAGGATCTGATGAAAACTAGAAATACTCTCCCCAGAAAAAATACACATGTGAATTCACAAAACGCTTGCCTGTCTATGAATTCACAGACCCTTTAGTATCCATTCGGGACACTGGGTTGAGAACTGGAATTAGAAGCTGTGATTGGTCCAATCCAAGGTTGCAGTGAGGGGGATACAGGTTACATGTGCAGCTGTTGCTTCTGATGTGTTTCTCCAGCCTGAACTACTTCTACTCTCCACGTTCTGCTCCATTCTTTAAAGACCCCCTGCTTTTGGGAGGCCTTTCTCAGCCTGTGCTATCTACAGAAGTTTTTCCTCTGAACTCACAGTAACTCTCAGTGTTGCTATTTTGGTCCTTAAGCATACATTCTCTTTGAATGCTTATCTCTGGATGCCTGAGAGAGAGAGAGAGAGAGTGTGTGTGTGTGTGTGTTTGTGTGTGTGTCACCTGTCTAACTTGACTGCAAGCAACTTGAGAGCAAGACCATTTATCATACTTCCTGGTATAGCCTCCAGTATCATGTAGAGAACTAACAGACGGGCAGACATGTGGTTACAAAGTAGGTTCCCCTACTTTATAGGGGATATATATATCTCATATATATATATAAATTCATTCCAATATAGAATGAATTAATGAATTCATTCCTCATTATGGAATGAATTAATGAATCTTCTACTCCTTTCCTTACTCCTTCCCCTAGTACTTTAAGCTTAGTGCTCTCTGTCACTTTTGTCTGGAGCACTTTTCTCTACCAGAAATCCATAAGAAACTCCCATGGGGGTCCTGAGGATGAAAGCTCAGAGCTCTCAGGGAAGTCCTCCATCTTCCAGTTTCTTCCTCTCTCTGCCTCTGCCCTGCTCCCTGGTTCCATTTCCATCAGCCTCTGGAAGACCTCTGTCAGGTACCTATGCGCAGCACATCACATGGCAATGATTCCCTGTGACATTGCTAAGAATACATAAGGTGCCTTGAGTACGGGGTGCTCAGATGAACAGGTTTACTTGCTTATTCATTTATTTTAATGTGCATTTGTAACATTGTAACCATATATCCTGCCCATAATTTCCCAGAGAATATTGATTAGGATGAATCTAAATTTTAAAATGAGAGAATAAAGAAAAATAGTAAGTAAATAATAGTTTGCTTTCTACGGTTTTATATCAGAATTTGTGCAGGTGGGGTGAATGTTCATATTTTCTGAGCACCAGGTGGGCCATTAACAGGCAGATGTGTTCTTAACATAAATGTCTTCATGTCCTTCTCCCTTCCTAGGAGGCAGCCCTAGGATGGCAGGGACAGGGTCTGAACCAGCCATGTAACTCCGAGAACTGGTGCTCAGGGATGGTTGGCTGAATTGAGTCATGCTGTATTGAATTTAAAAATTCTGTCTCAACATTAGCTTTCCCTCCTCAAAGCACTATTGTGTCTATTCCCTGGAACAGAGGGAAAGCAGGAAGATGGGAAGGAAAATCACAGCTCTGCTTCTCCTCAACACATCTCCAAGTGGTCCAAACAGACCACTGCAGAAGCCTAGCCTAATTGAATCGCACTGTTTGCCCTTGTTTATCTTCTTCTTCTTTTTTCTATCCAGCTCTAAAGCCTACTTATGGATGTGTAAAGAGCTTTCTTTGACTTTAACACAATTAGCCAAGGATTCTCAGAGCCTCTTCATCACAAGGGCAGGTTTCACCCACCCAAGCATTTGCTAACATCACAGAACAATGATGATTACCTAGCTAATGGTGGAGGGGCGGGGGTTACGGAAAGAGAGGAAAAGCAAAACATCAAAATTGCACAGAGGGAAAACTTAGCCAACTAACACCTGCCAGAAGAGACTAGAGGGTGGGGCTGGAGTAAGCAGGTTCCGCTAGACTCTTCCCTAGGGAGGCTGCTAAAGCTTCCCAACTCTGAAGGTCTTTGTGTGAGAGGTGAGGGGTGGGTGGAAGTGAGTGAGTCCTGCCTGGGAGGCAAACAAAGAAAGGAAAAGGGAAAGGCAAGGGTGCTTCCACTTCTCAAGGTAACATACTTGAATGAATCCAGCATTGAAATTAGCCCTAATCACTGGTGATTCATTTTGAAAAATCACAAAGGGCTTTTTCCCCCTCCGTTTCCGCTTTAGGGATTTCCCAGGCTAAAAGGGCAGCCCAGTTTGAGTCACTGGTTTTAAGAAATCAAGAAATGATAACGTGAAACAGATCAACTGCACTCCTGAGGGCTGTTAACCCCGTGTTCACAAGAATTATTTTAAAAATCGTTTATCTACAATCAAATCTGAATCCCTGTAAGTCCATGTACTAAGGTATTCCTGCCTTCTTTTTTGCACTGCAAAAAAGTTTGAATGGTCAGAGGCTCCACCTAGAAAAAGTGACAAGTTGAAATTATAATCACTTCTGTTTGTTACTTGTTACCGGGTATAATAAGGACCAGCTCTCCTTTATGGGGTATATGGTTAGGTATCTTTAATAGAGAGATTTCACTAGAGCATCAGTATCATTTCACTTTTATTTGACTAAAAAATAACAATGACCGTTTTTGAGTACCTAGTATAATCTAGGTCCTTAACATACGTCATTTCCTTTATTTCTCACAAGAATCCGATGAACTAAGTAACACTTCCTTGCTGAACAGTTAAGAAAACTGAGACCTAGTTAATAAGTGGCCCAGCCAAGATATGAACCTCAAGTTTTATCTGTTTCAAACTACATGTCTTTCCATTCCCCTTATTGTGTTTCTAGAAACTATAGAAAAGACTTAGGAAAAGCAAGAAGGAGTGGGACTCCGCACAGCAGTCAAGGGAAACACGACTTATCACACAGATCCGTAACATATGACACATCTTTTGCTATGAGATAACTGACCAAACTCATGCCCGAATTCACATGTGCCAGTCAGTCTCCACGAGTCTCCTTGGGCATGCGCCTCAGTGACCCCTATACGTTCCCCAGTCAGACGCCCTCCACCCACACTAGCACCATATTTATATTTATTATCTTGTTAATGGTTGGGAAGAGGGGAAGCAGCCATTTGTGGGCCATGCTTTTTCAACGATTTAATTCCTAGTATTTCTGAGCACAAAGAGTGTAATGCTCAGCAATCACTCATTTCCATGAGGATCTGAGATTCTGAAAAGAAAGTCCCACCATCATCGTGGGTTCTCTTTTGTCATTTCCAATTCCAGGAGTTTCTCCTCTCACTATGAAATAGTTGAACAGCCAGAGTCAGTATGGATGGAAAGAGGGAAATGCAGCTGACAGGCTCAAAAGCAGGCAGGAGATTAGCAAGGGAGGGGAAAGACGAGTCTTCCATGAGGGATCATTTTAAACATTCCTGCCATCTTGTTGCTTTATTTTCTAAGCATCAGTTTCAGTGCTTAATGATAATCTATGGGGATCATCTTCCCAGAAGCAACCTCCTTATTCATGGACTGTCTGAAATTGATTGCTCAATTTAGCCATGATAAAAATAAAGTACAAGTGCTTCATGTTCCATAATTACCAGAGAGAATAGCTTGGAGTTCTGGGGACCAAGTCAGTTCTGATGATGTCTCCTAACAAGTCCAAATCACGTTTATTACTGATTGCCCCTTGGAGAGCCAGTTCTAGTAGAAACTTTCAACTTCATAATGTGCTGCCACACATGGACTTCTTAGCTCCCTCTATCCCCAGGCCAAATACCAGGGCTAATGATTGCCCTTCGGTGATGTTGTCCAGACCCTCTTCAGCCCACTCTCACACTCTGCAGCATTCTTGCAGGCTGCTGGAAAACTGGAGCTGGGCTGGCTTATAAAAACAAGGAATTTGCCGCCTCCTTAAAGATCCCCTCCCCTCCCCTCAACATACTCTCCCTGGGAGGTTTCACATTCTTTGCATCCCCCAACTCCCCAAGCTTAGTACTGAGCCTGTGGCTTATGCTTGGGTGGAATTGAATTAAGGTAGAAAGGGCACATATTGTCATCATTTCCATTTACAGATGGTGAAATCAAGACCCTTAAGTTAAAGTCATTTGCCTGGTGTCACAAACGTAATTGAACATAACTGGTCAGGCTGGCAGCAGATGGAGTTCAAGTCTTAAGGAGTATTTTAGTGGTCATTGGAGATAAATTTTGAAGACATGGATAAGATTGGATGGTAGGTACCTAACATATCAGGAGCCTCAAAAGATAAGGGACAGCGTGGTAAGAGGAGATGGTGATGTGAAGGAGCTGTGGATAGGACCGCTTAGAGCCATGGGCTATCAATGACTAAGGAAGTGAAATTTGTCTTTGCCAAGCTTAATTGAATGTGAGTGTTTAAGAGTGTGGCTCAAACCATCACTAACTATGAGAAGGCTGGAGAAAAGATTAAATTTCTCTTTGCCCTATTCTCAACATTTCTAGATAATCAGAAAATCTAGATCAAGGTTTCCAACAGTGGCACTATTGATGTTGGGGACTGGGTAATTTACTGGGGGAGGTTGGCATCTTGTGCATGGTAGTATGTTGAATGCCATCCCTGGATTCTACTTGCCACATCCTAACACTGTGTGTACACTACACTCTCAATTATGGCAATTAGAAATGTCTCCAGACATTGCCAAGTGTCTCCTGGGAAGCAAAATTGCCCCCCCGTTGAAAACGATGGATCTAGATAAAGGCCTCAGTCCAGTGGTAGGCATGCAGCAAATGCTGAATAAGTCTTTTTATTTTTCACTTTCCTTTTTGCTCTTCCTTTCCCACATGGTGTCATCCCTTTCCAAATGACTCTTATGTCCTCTGTTTCATCAGTTGCATTCAAAACCACCTCTGCAGAAGAAACCTGCCAATTGCATTTACGTTGTGAGTGTTTTCATTTTAATATGGGCACATCACCCTAAGCCACAGACACCATCTCTTATGAGTCAAGTTTAGGCACCAGTGAGCTGGGTAAGGCATGTATTTTAGAGACATTTCCTTCCTAACCTCTCAGAAAACAGTCTATGCAAATGGTTTTTGTATGCTGCCCACTTATAAGACATAAATGAGTCGTTCACAAAGTGTGTTAGGATGTGAGTGTTATGTACTAAGAGAGTTTTGTGGTTAAATACATTTGAGAAATTCTGGGTTAATTAAACAAGTCTATTTCTCCGGTCTTTTCAGAACCTTTAAGATGCTAACATATACCATGAATATTCATGAAGGGATATGATTTATAGCTTTTTACAAACTTATTTTCACAGGCCAAGGGTCAGCAAACTACGGTCCCTAGGCCAAATCTGGTCTACCGTTTATTTTTATAAACAAAATTTTACTGGAACACAACCACGTCCACTCGTTTATCTATTGTCTATGGTTGTTTTCATGCTATTAATACAATGGTAAGTTGAGTGATTGTTACAAAAACCCCACAAAGCCTGAAGTCTTCACTATTTGGCTTTTAAAGGACAAAATCTGGTCGGGCGCGGTGGCTTACGCCTGTAATCCCAGCACTTTGGGAGGCATAGGCAGGTGGATCACCTGAGGTCAGGAGCCTGGCCAACATGGTGAAACACCATCTTTACTAAAAATACAAAAATTAGCCAGGCGTGGTGGCAGGTGCCTGTAGTCCCAGCTACTCGGGAGGCTGAGGCATGAGAATCACTTGAACCCAGGAGGCAGAGGTTGCATTGAGCCGGGATCACACCATTGCACTCCAGCCTGGGTGACAGAGCAAGACTCCGCCTCAGGAAAAAAAAAAAAAAAATAGAAATTTGTCTCTCTTGTTAGAGGTAGAGTATTCCATGGAATACATCCTAGGAAACATGTGTTTAGAGAACCTCAATATTGAAAAAGATTTTAAAGGTCATCTAGCCCTCTGTGGCTGTGTGACTCCACAAGGACCATGTATGATATGGTTTGGCTGTGTCCCCACCCAAATCTCATCTTGAATTGTAGCTCCTATAATTCCCACGTGTTGTGGAGAAGAACCCAACGGGAGATAACTGAATCATGGGGCATATGGCATCCCCCATACTGTTCTCATGGTAGTAAATAAATCTCACAAGATCTGATGGTTTTATACAAAACCCTTTCACTTGGTTCTCATTCTCTCTTGTCTGCCACCATGTAAAATGTGCCTTTTGCCTTCTGCCATGGTTGTGAGGCCTTCCCCAGCCACATGAAACTGTGAGTCCATAAATCTCTTTTTCTTTATAAATTACCCAGTCTCGGGTATGTCTTTATCAGCAGTATGAAAAAGGACTAATACAGTGCCCTTGAGAATCACCTGGGGAGCTTGTTACAAATGCAGATTCCTGGGATCTTTTCCTGACCTACTGACCCAGAATGTCTAGTGGGAAAGCCTAGGAAGTGGTATTTAACCAAATCACCCACCCATTCATATGCACAGCTAAACTGGTTACCCCTGATCTAATCCAACTACCAACCCTGTGCCTCAATCTCTCAAGTATCCTCAGCATGATAGTTCAGTTTCCCTCTTCATACCTCTAATGGTGGAGAACTTACTACTTCCCAAATAGCCCCTTCTATTTTTACTCTACAATAATTATCAGAAAGTTCTAATGTTGAATTCAAATATGTCCTCTAGGAATGTCTGCACATTGGCTTTTATTTTCTTCCACTTCCACCTCTTGCCAGCTGTGAAGTGTATTTAAACAGGAAGGTAGAGGCCAAACTTACCCCAAACATCTACACAGGAAGCCTTTTCTGGCTCTTTCAGACAGAGTTGAGCTTGTCCTGCCTTGTACTTTCAAAGTGCATTGGAGGTTCCTCTGTTTGTACATTCTCCACCTTTCTGCAAGTTAGTGTGGTGGTAGAAAGTACAGGCATCTGACAAAGCCAGATAAACTTGGGGCTCCATCTTAGCCAGCTGCTTCCTTGTTCTGGGCCCTTGGGTAAGTTATTTTACCTGAGGCCTCCATTTACTTATCTTGAAAAAGGGTGTGATATTAGCACCTACCTGGAGATAAGAGTTCTGAGGCTTAAATAAGATATCCCAGGTACAGGGCTTAGCACGGAGCCTGGTTCACAGGAAGTGCTCAATGGGTGCCAGCAAGGAAGAGGATTTTGGTGATCTGTCCCCAAAGGGTGGTAAACTTCCCCAGGGAAGGGGCCATCTATAAGTTACTTTCCTTTGAATCCCCGGTGCCTGTCACACAATAAATGCCAACAAATGAAAGAGTTATTAAAGAAATCGTTAAAGACTGAAAGAGGGCAGTAAAACAGTGGTCAAGAGCAAGGGGACAGAAAGATGGTTCGCCTAATTTCAAATCCCCTTATCACCTGTTGCTTCCTGTGTGGTCTTGAGGTCCTGTGAGCTTGGCTTCTCTAAGTAGTCTACTCCTGAGTAAATGCAGCCCCTCCTAGGATGGTTGTGAATATTAAATAAGAAAATTCAGGCAAAACATTTAGCACATTAAAAAAAAAGTCCAATGAACGCTATTGTTATAATAATGATTATGAAGACTACTATTTATTATTAATAGTATTTTCTCAACAGGGTCTACTGGTGGCTGGGATAAGAGGCTTGCTTGGAAAAGATGTCTTTCTTTGCTCATGGAGGGGAGAAGTCTTATCTCTGTTTTTTTCTACTTCCTCTCCTTAGATTCCCTTAGGAGATACATAACCAAGGGAGCAGCTTGAAATTTGAGACTAGGCTAATGGAGCCCCATGCAAATTCACCTTGGAGTTATACACACAGAAAGTTTTGTGGCCACATCAATCTGTACACAGTGAACATTTCTCTCAGTGCCATAAACCAGATACCCTTCTACCCCCAGCTGTTTGTAGCATTTTAGGTGAAGACTTCATTAAACTCCTAAATAAGAAAATGAGAGTACTCGAAGGAGACAGAGGAATATCTTGTGTCCAAACCAAATAGAGGAGAAACCATAAATATGAGGGCTCCAAGACATCAACATTTATACTCAGAAGGCTCTTCCTACTACTAAATCTGGCTGTTTAATCCCTTGGAGATTTGCCCTTGATCTCCTTTCTCTGATTTGCTTATGGCCAAATCTGAGCACCTGGAGCTTCTATAGAGGTCAGATAAGTTCAATGTTGAATGCTTTACCCTTTGCTCTATGAGCCAAACACTGTTCTAGACCCTGGGAATAAAAGGTAGACATGCACAATTTTTGCCCTTATGGAGCTCATTGTTCAGGAGGGGAGATAGACATCAACCAAAGAATCACATGAATGAATGTAAAATTACAGTGAACAGCGCAATGAAGCAAAGACTCAGGAGTGCCTTGAGATCATGTCATAGGTTATTTGTCTACAGGGAAGACAAGGAACTCTTCTATCAGGACCTGCTAAAATCAATGGGATCTGATGAATGGGCAGGAGTTATGCAGATGAAGGGAGCAAGGGACTGGTTTGGAGAATGATGTCAACAGAAGGAAAAGCATATGTGAAGGCCCTGTGGCAGAAGGGAACAAGCATGATAGAGCAACTGAAAGAAGTCCTGCTTGATTATAAAAGCAAAGAGCCTGATACAAAATGAGGCTGGTAAGGAAAAGGAGGTCAGACCATGGAGACACACAGCCATCTGGCAAATACGGTCTTTATGGCAAGAGCAAAGAAAACCCACTGCAGAGTTTGTACCTCAAAAAGTTCAGAAGAGACTAGACTGAAGAGACCAGTTGGGAGGCTGTTAGGCTATCAGGAGATTGGTGGTGGCATGGACCAGGGTGACGGGCACTGAAGGTAAAGAGAAGTGGATATTGGATCCGAGATATGGAACTGAGATACCAACATTTTAGAAAATGCATATCTTCATTCTTCTCAGAAATAACTTGGAATTTACAGGCCTCCAAAGATAGAAAACAGAAGGTTATTCAGTCTTACTGGGCAATACTAATGGATTTTACAAATCCGTACTGCTGCATCATAAACTCAGCTTAATAATTATTGGGGCTGTACACTAGCATCAGAGTCAGAGAGAATGGAGTTCAAATCTCAGCTCACTTACTTCCTAGCAAATGATTAGCAATAACCTTCATCCTGTCCCTCAGTGTTCTCATCAGTGCAATGGAAAGGATGAACCATGCTTTGTGAGGTTATTACAGGGTTAGAAAAAGATGACGTGAGGATTACATGTGGGTCATGTGTATAAATTGCCTAGTACTGGTCTACATATGTGTTATCCCTTATCTTCATTAATAAAACACCCTCTAGTAGGATTGGACACAACATAAACACGAAGAGTGGTGATTTTTTGAAGACAAGAAAGTGATACCATATCTCCATTTTTGAGCAGAATGAAAGATCATGGTCAGCAGGGGCTGGTGAATTTACATCATAGGAGTAGAGCAACTTCTCAGAAGACAAAAGATAGGGCAATATGTTTCCTACTTTTGTGGACCACAACCCTCAGAAAGAAACATATTTTATGTTGTGAGCTAGTAATATACTCAGCCTCCATTCTATTTATTCAGTTTCATTCAGAAGAAAACTCTGCTTATGACTCACCAAAATGATTTCCTCACCCTAGGGTCACAACCTACAGTCTGAAGAACACCAGGTTAGGGAGTTCACATGCAAGTCCTTCCAGGAAGCCTTCCTGGAACACCCTTACCGGGTGGAGGTTGTTACCACACTTCCATTTCCCTGGCTCTTACGAATTCAGGCTGTGCCTCACCATGTATTCATAACTCTTCTCTTGCCTCCCCAAATGCATTCACTATTGGTGTATCCTTCCTCTACTACTTCATTACTTTACATGAAAGAGACTTGCTTTGAGAAGCTGGGATAGTTTTATATTTGTGCTGGGGGAGGTAGGGGCAGGCAGGGAGGAAAACTAACATCTCTTCAAATTAACCTGCATTGGCTGAGTGGCTGCTCTGTGCCTTGCACTGAGCAAGGCTTAGGAGGAGAATGGGACCTTTCCAGACTCCCAAAGCCTTGGAGGCTGTGCAGAATCTCAGAATGTGGGAGTGGAGCACACGGCCTTCGGCATGAAGCCTCTAAGGGCTCCTGGACAGGGGCATGGCACCGTCAGACCTCTGCCCTGTGACGAAGAAGCATCTTTAGTAATAGAACAAGACTCCATCTGCCTAAGGAGAGGAATAGCACAGCTGTCCTTGCTCCACTTTATAAAATAAATAATGTGTTTGCACTCAAAGTTCACTCTCCAGTGTGAAGTGCACAGAGAATCAGGTAGCGACTCTATGCCGGTGCTTCATTCCAGCCGGCTGGACAGGGAATTGATCTTGTTTCTGTTTGGCTGTTTAAGCTTAGAATGTACATTCAGGACTGAAGCAGCTGAGAAACTAGCCCATGGGTGAGTTCCTTCCAGCCATGATAATGGAGAGAACTACAACCATGGACTTGTTAGGAGGCAGACAGCGCCAGATTTCAATTTTCTTCTACTGTTTACTAGCTGTTGATTGCGAGTATGTTTCTTTACTTCCCTGAGCATCTCTTTTTCTGGCTAATAACACCTATAGAAGAGGGTTGCCAGGGCCATTAAATTAGATAAAGCCCCCACTACAGTCCCTAGAACATCATAAGCCCTTAATAAATTGAACATGAATCAGAGTTATTGTTTCTAACACTCAACACAGCATAATTGAGGGGGTGGGGAGGGCAATCTCCCTAAAACAGCGTTTCCTCCATAAAGCCAAAAGGACATAGTTTCCTAGTGAGAAAACGTGAGAAAGTTAGGCCCTGACAGCTCCTGGGACAGTAGGAGATGTTATCTCAGGAGGCTCCGTGTTATGCTAATGAGCAGACATTACTTAGCCAGGGATCACCTATTAGCACTTCTGAGAACTCTATTTCAGCATTCATGTTGCCTTTGAGCACAGGCTGGGAGACATGGAAGGAAAATACCCAGGAGATTTATGCTCTCAATTGTACATAGAATTCTGGTTTCCTTCCGCAATCCATTTGCTACTGCTTACTTTTCAGAGTTCTCCAAAGTTCTATGCATTTTGTCCAGAGTTTTTGGTTGCAATCAATGGGAGAAACTGCATGATATGTGTTTATTCCATCTTAACTAAAATCAGAGTCCTCAGGAAACAGTTTTTCAGGGTGTTGTATTGCATTCAACCCCTGTGGCACGTGATCATCCACAAATAGTATGTACAGAAACTTTAGATTGGATTAACTAGAATACCATATTTCCTGAGCATGCCAAATACCCATTATATTCACATTCACTTACTTAAATACAATGGAACAGAACTACTTTTCCCACTGAGAACATACACAAAGGGATTTCAATGCCTGTCCTTGAATCAGGAATGAATTGGGAATAATGACTGAATTTTTTCTTCATGAAAAGTGTAAACATCTATTAACTCATGTTATAGACTCAAATAAGTGTTGAATTAGGCAATATATATTGCCTCCATGTTTTCAGACTGTAATTTTTTAAGTATCTAACTTGATAAAGCAGCTGTGGGTTGTATTTACGTGGAATCACTGATATTCACAAGAACAGCCTCAAGTTTACTTTTTATGGTAGACAATAGATTTTGAAATTAAGTAATTATTGTTATATTGCCGAAAAGTATGTCCATTTATATGAATCAACTAATTTCCCAAAGTAGTGTCCATTTAACCAAAAAGGAAGTGATCCACACCTCTAAAAATATCATTAGAGGGCCAGTGATGACTTTAGACACAGTGTGTGCTCAAATTCACAGAGCTGACAATGTGCTGATAAAGATAAGTTAAATTCCAGAAACAGTTGAGAAATAATTTGGTGGTTAAGAACATCAGAAAACAACAGACTTATTGGAAATGATAATGTAGATATTTGCATAGTAATATGTACTGAACAAAATGTTTTTATTCAATTGACTATTCATTCCAAAAGTCATTTATTAAGTGTGCATAATGTGTCATCATTTAACTAGATGCCCTCATAGTCATAATTTGCTAGTCATCCTAGGTGTACTTTAGCCAAACCTTATAGGTAAAAGTCTGAATTAACAGAATGGATATAGTGAGACATACAAAGATACACTGTTGAATTATTAAAATAATAAACCTTAAGATATTTTCCATTTAATGTTCTGCAAACATTAAAATTATTCACACATATTTGGAGGACTGTGGACCCCAGGTATAAGGGGCAAGGAGCATGGGCTTTGGAATCAGAAGCACCTAGCATCAAATCCTTGAAATTACTTTAAACCTCAGTTTTGTTATCTGTAACCTTTAGAAGATAACAGTACCTATGTCAAAGGATCATCACCAAGTATTGCATGATCTAATGCAGTTCTAGTTTTCGGTGAAATCAAACACATAGTAAACCTTCGATATCTATATCTCCCCGTATCTAACCACTATGTAATATAGGGTTTATTTGCGTGGCATATAAAATGAATTATTTCTCAGTGGTTGATATTAGTGCCAAATATATGAGTTTGTCCTATTATCTATGCTATTTAAGAAGAATAATTATATAGAGAAAAAAATTGTTAGGTAATATGCCAACATTAAATATTTGAACTTTGGTATTTTCACAACTTGTATTCCCTAAATGAAATAATTTTAATACTCATCCTATTTTCTTGGGCTATTTTGATCTTTATCACTTACTAAGCACCCACAATGTGTGGCTGAGGATCTACAAAACCCATGTAAGACATAATCCCTGCTTTCACAGAGTTTACCTGCTAAAAAGACAAGATGTACTTTAAAAGGGAGTCTTTGGGAATGAGGATTATTTTTGTGTTGCTAAACTGTGCCAGAAAGAAAGCAGTTCATTATCTTATCTCTTCCTGTCCTGTCCATTGAGTTTGTGGTTTTAATGAGATAAAAATTTAACCATTTTCTTGCACTTTCAAATGCAAATGAGTCTCTCATTGGAGTGAGCAGAAAGCAAAGCTGAGATGTCATCATACCAAGGAAGTTTAGGAAGTCCATAATCATTGTAGCAATAATTACTATCATTTTTTAAGCATCTTCTGAGGGCTGGGCTTTTTGCTAGGTGTTTTCCCATTAATCCACACAATAAGGATGTATTATTGCCTCCACTTCACTTTGGTGGCCAATGAGGCTTAGAAATGCATAGTAACTTGCAGAAAGCAAAGTCTGGATTTAAACTTGACTGTCTGCTTTTTTGACATGACCCTTGTTAAAGCAAATTTAAAATGGGAACCAGGCCTGAAGAATACCTGAGTGGACAAAGCCAGTTAGGCCTCAACCTTGCGTGATTTGCAAGCATAAGTGAAACTTAATTTGAACTATTTTTTAAAAATGCCTGTATTAGAGAAAAATAGAACTTAAGCTCAACCAGTAAGAAGCAGCAAACAAACTTAGGATTATATAACTACAAACTTTCCGGGGATTGATCAAATAAGGCAACTGTATAACTGTAACCAGTGAAATATTTTCTCTGCGCTACTTCCATGTTCATCCTATAAAAGCTTCTTCCCCCTTGTCTTCCCTTGGTGGAGTTTCTGAACCACTTTTGGTTTGGAGTTCCCGGATTCATGAATCACTATTTATTCATATAAACTCTTTAAAAATTATATTGTGCCTGAGTTTACCCTCTTAATACTCTTTAGCTCAATTTAAGAATATGGTATGCTATAGAATGCAAATGCCTACTCCTCCTGGATGTCTTCTCTGTTACCCTTTCTTCTACAGGTAAGGTTCTGATGATAAACACATGGCAGTTGAGCCACAAATCCCCTCACTTCCACTTCTGGCAGACATTACTAATTGATCACAGCTCCCTTTTTCAGTGAAACTCAAGGACCGGAGAATCTTCAATACAGTATTCCAAAGCAGTCAGTCTCAACAAATTGACTATAGTTAACAGCTGACATCTATTTGAATCTCTGCTATAGTACCTTGTTTATGACTCTATTAATAGCACATATGACATTATATTTTAGTTATTTACCTCCCTTTTAGTTTTTGCTGGGAGACTATGAGACTCCAGTGGCAGGCCCATTCATCTTCCTCAATCCAGCACCCTGTACACAGTCTACTATGTAACACAATGGGCACCTAGTAAGTTTTGTTGGATCAAATGTAAGTACTTGTAGTTTAAACCTGTTTGACTACCAAATGCCATACATCCATATGACTGCACTACTGCCTAATACTAGCTTTCAAGAACTTTTCCAGATGACTCCTGAGCTTTATTCCAGAACTTTCCTAGGTAATCATCAAGTGTCTCTCATTGTGTCTCTTTGGGTCCACAAAAGAAAAGAAATGAGAAATGAATTAATGATTAATGTCCTGGAGAAGTCTTTCTCCCTTTTTAGTTTATTTCAGCCAGAACCACCTTAGGCTGTATTCTGTGTGGCCTCTGTGAGAGGTGCTATGTGGTACAGAGAGGAGTAAGACTTGTTCCCGGACATCAGGGTACTCACAGGCATGTGGGGAGGCAGCCATATAATGACAGTGGGGTTGTCATGGAGAAAAGCAGGTGACACCTTGGGTGAACAAGGCTTTGTCCAAGAAAATCTTGAAGAGTGAAAAAGATTTGGCCAGGAGGAAAGGGAAAGAAGGATGTTTAAAGCACAAAAAACATTGTGCTTCTGAGTCTAAATCCAGGCATTCCAGGGATGTGACTGTTGATTTCAAAGTCCTCAAAGTATACGTTTTATCTGTCTCTCAAAATGCTTTGGGATCTTCCAAGTAGAACTTCAGTAGATCTGCCCTGAATCTCTGGAGCCTGCCATTGTACATATGCTTTCTACACCAACACATGGAAATAGTCTTTCATTTATTTATTATTTTAATGCAGCGATTGATCATGGTTGTTGAGGGGGATCATGCATTTTTTAGGATTTCAGCACACCTTTTACATACCCTGAGGGTCCACCTTCTGAAATCAATGAATGCCTCATGAGCATATTCTTTCAGAATTGAAACCTTCAAAAAGAGGCACATAATTTCCCCAATTTCCTATGAAAGACATTATTCAAATGTCCTCAAGTGACGGATGGTCTAATAATCTGCAAAAACGTGCTCCTTACACTCTGAGGTCAGCCCTGTTTTACTTAAAAGTTTGCACTCATACAAGTACCATCTGGAGCCCACATCCTCTGTCTTAAGCTTCAAATAAATCCTGATTTACCTCAGAAACATTTGCCAAGAGTCTGCTTGCTAGAAAAATTACCAGTTTCTCCCCGTTTGAGGCATACCTTTGCAATAAATGAGCATAGTAGGCATTTAATAAAAGACTGCCCATTGGGATGCTCTTTAGGATGCTAAAAAAGTTACCTGTTGGGGAACAAAAATTGGGAAATTGCAGCTACTCCTTTTTGTGGATGGGGAGGACGGCGGATCTGGAAAGACTACACAATTTTTTTTTTTTTTTATCTGGGTCATCCTAATCCAAATTAAAGCTGCATGTGCTGCCTCGACATTCTGACTCAATACCGCTGCAGTTTCCTTACAAAACATTTTTCAGCTCTCAGTATGGGGCACATTTTGATCTGATGATGTATGTAGGTAGAAGAAGAATGGATGGATGCTTGAAGATGGACTTCAAATCTCAAAGGGATCATGTGCTATTGTGTTCCTTGAAAAGCCTGAGGAATGCTTTATGCTTAGTCTAACCCACAGTCTGCTGGTGGCATGTTTGCAGCTAACACCTTGCAAAGGGGAAACAGGGCCTTGGGGGCCCATGTTTTCTCTCTGGGACAAAAACCAAGGTGCGTATATGATTTCTCTAATAATTCTAAGGTGTTATCCAAACTCAGTCCTGGGTCCAATGCACTCTGAAAAATGCCTTAAGCGTTTGAGCTAAGCCACTGAGTAAGGTGATGAAGCTAATCTAGCCACTCTGTTTTTGTGCCAGCCAGTTGATCCACAGATGCTCTGAACATTGATCTGCTTGCCAGGACTGGAAATGGACCACTCCTGTACTTTTTCACTGAATTCCCTTAAAAGTGGAAAAGCACCCCTTTCCTTTTAAAATAGACCCGGAAGCACAGTCAACTAGCCTTAACTCTTTTTCAAGCTTGATTCATAGTTTTTTTTTAAATCAATTCCTGGTAGGAAATGGGTCCTACACACAAGTATTTTTTTTTTTTTCCAAAAATGGGGAAATGAGTAATTCCTAAGTAATGGGCCAAGAAGGAAACCCGGAACTTCAGCAGGCTTTTCACCTTTTGAGTGAACAATCATAAAAGCTTTATTAAAGATTATTTTTTGAAAATCACCCACAATTCCATGATCTAACAATAATGTTTTTACCATTTTTATTTTTAAAAATCTGGTCTTACTCTAAATATTTTTTAAAATAAAATTGTGATTCATAGTGTATAAACTTTTGCAGAATGCATTTTGTTACTAAAAATCTTGTGACCATTTTTGTAGATACTTAATTCCTAAATATTTTTAAAAACTTAGGCTGTTTGAGGGCTACATAATAATCCACAAAATCTTCTTTGCGAAATTACATAAAATCAAGCCAGCATATACATCATAGGAATTAATAGGGGGGACTCAAGTTAGAAAGACCTGAGTTTAAATCCTGGTTCTCCTACTGAGAAAGCATAAACAATGTATAAATTAATAACACAGTAACATTCATTGAGCATCTGCTATGTAGCAGGCAATTTGCTAATGGCCTTACATGTATTAATTTCACTTAATCCTTATAACCCTATGAGGCTGGTACCATTGTTATTCCTACTTTGCAGATGAGGGTATGTACAGAGACTAAGGAATGTTTAATACTTCAGCTCACAAAGTATGTACATGCACTTGATCTGGCCATGCCCACATCACCAGACTGAGGTTCCACACTTTTCAACTAGCCTTTGGATGTCAGATCCCACTGATCACCTCCCTGAGAGTCTGAGTCCTTCCCATCCACAGCCTTAGTGCTGCCTCACAACACTCACTCCTTCTAAATGCCACTTGCTTCAGGAAGCCTTCTTAGTGCTCTTGACATATACTCTCTTGGCAACCTGCACTTTCATTTAGAGCACTTCTTAGATGGGGATTAGTTCATTTTGTAACTGTGAGTTTGACACCCCCCTCTTCTTGCTGGAGGGAGACACCACGATTCCCTCACATCCATATTCCCCCTCCACACTGTGGATGACTGACTTATTAGTGAATATCCTTCTCAATTCTTTAACCATTAATATGGTCCGTTCCCATCAGCTCATTTCTAATTCTGTGGCCTTCAGCACGACCAAGAGGGAAGAAGAAGAGAGGAGTGAAATTTCTCAATTAAACTGTGGGTAACTTTGGGAAGGAAGGGGCTTTGAAAGCCTCATTCATTCTGTGTTCCTTTCAGAACAGAAGCTTGCATCTGCACTTGCCATTTTTGCCAAGACGATCTGTGGAGGGCTCTGGAGGTAGTGCTATTGCATTCAAACTACTTCTTTGACAACATGAAGCTTCAAGTCCACAGAACTGTCCCCAAATATACATTTTGGTGGAGGAGCGGAATAAGTGCTTCCTAAAAAGTCTTTCTCTAAGGCTCACTGATTCCACACATTACCTTGTGAAAAAGGACACCATGGCCTCGATCTCCATGGCCAAATAAATAAAGGAAATGGAATTTCACAATGCATATTAGCACATTAGAGAGGCCGAGAGGTCCTGCAGGGGAAAAAAGAAAAAAAAAAAAAGAAAATAATGTGACTTTGCTTGATTCTTTCTAAGTTTATTTGGCCATGTTTGGCTGTAGAATGCTGTCTTACACTAGAATGTGCCAGAATCAGATCCTGAAATAAAGATTTAAGTGGAAGGAGTTTCATTTGGGAGGTGAATTTGTAGGAAGCACTATAAGGGGAGACAGAAAGTGAAATTGGAAAGGGCAGGACACTGACCTAGGGTATATTAATAAGCAGATTTACCTCTGTGGACAGCTGGTACTCAATCTTGCTAGGGATGACTGGGAAGAACACACCTCAGAGGTGTTTACAGGAGGAGTGAGGATGCCGAGTAGCTAACAGCCCTCATTAATCATAAACCGAGGGTTGCTTCCAGGGGTGCTAACTCACTGGCATTTTCAGACTGCCCTGCCTGGCACCCCAAGAACAACTTTAAGCTGAGACTAGCAGTTGCTTCCAACAGAGCACTTGAGTCATCATGCACAGAAACTGTGAGTGCTGACGAGAGACTAATGGGACAATGTCTGTTGCACAGATGTCCCCCTCTGCCTTTTTGTTTTTCATGGGGGACACCAAGTAATACCTGAGGAAGTAGTGCCTGAGGAACATAATTTGGAAAACAGAATGCCCAAGACATCTGAGCAGTTCCATGAATTTCAAGAAGCTATCATTTAGTTAGACATAAAGAGCCAACATTAGGCTATAGCTGGTCAAACTCCAAAAGGAATTCCTGTAAATGCCAACAAATGACAAACAAATAAATCTCAAGGCTCAGCAGAAATAGCCCTGGAAAATCATAGCTTGTGGGATGCTACATCAGAAAGGCTTCTAAGGCTCCAAACTAAGAGCCAGGCTCTAACTTGATCTGTCTGTGAAAGAGGAAAGTCATCTTTCCCACAGCCAGAGGCAGGGAGAATGGCATAGTAACTGAGCCTTATGGATGGTGACATTGACATCGAGCTATAAGGATCTTGCTCTTAAGGAACTTACATGTTAGTGAAGTCAGATAATGTCAACAAACCAACAGAGAAAATCATTGTAGCTGGTGGGATTATGAAGGATTATGAAGAGGATAATGAGGGAGAATGTAGCTGGCAGAGAATTACTTTAGGTTGAGTGATACAGAATGGCATCTTTGAGGAGCTGAAATATGAGCTGGCACTGCCTTGATGCAATGTGTCAGAATGAAAGGCATCTCAGGAGGAGGAAACAGCAAGTGCAAAGGCCCTGCGATGGGAACAAGACTAGAATATTTGAGGAATGAAAAGAAGAACCTGCAGTATTATAAGTGAAGGGCAGGGTGAGATTAGAAAAGATTAGCAAAGGCTGCAGCCAGAAATTATTGGGTGGAAATTTGACACGTTTTGTCTTCCATTTCCTTGATCTTAAAAAACAGCTTTAAAAAGCATCTGAGAACATTTGGTGAACACCCAGTGATGCTCCCACATTCCTAGATGTCTGAGGAACCCTCAGAAGGAAATCATCGAGGTCTTTCACCATGTGGCCATGCCAATTGTCTCATCCTGTTCTTCAGCATCTCCCATCAAGATCTCCAGTGGCCTCACAAATTACAACCAGTCTCTAAAAGCTGAATGTCAACCTGCCCTTCAAAGGCCCTGTGTCCCAGTGCCAAAAGGCAGTAGTTTAAAGAAACAGGGAACAGTCTTGCTGGGGCCTACTTCTCGTTGGAAGGAGTGTACAAAATCTGACCTTGCCAGTGGGTGGCCTCTATCCAGCCCTCAAGGCATCCTCCAGGCAGTTCTCTTGTGGAGCACTAGTCAGTGGCTCTGGAGGCAGGATTCCCAGTGGTGCAGCCACAAAGCTTCACCTGGGCCTGGCCCCTGAGGACAATATTAAAGGATCTGTGTTGGGAGTGCAATTAGTTCTGTATGGAAAAGAAGGCTGATTCTTCACTCTCTGGCAAGGTCAAGGCCAGGAGAACAGACGGAAGGAGAGGGCAACTCTTGGTCTCTGGAGAGACAGACATCCTTGCAGAGATCTCTCATCCATGGGATCACCATTGGGGACCTAGACAAACCTCATTTTTACATCACAAGAGGTTATTGGGTCCCTGGTATGTATTGAGAACTGAACTCATACAAAAATGAGTACAGCACAGGTTCTATCCTAAAGATGATGTCTTGCAGAAGGAAACATCTGACCACCTGGTAGTACCAGGCGGAATGAAATCTGTGTCAGAAGAGATGTTCAAACAAGAAACTTCAGGAGAGCAAGGGAAGAGAAATGAAAAGGCTCATTGGCTTTCTCTTACTTGATGGCAGTTAGTTAGTCCAACCAGAGGCATGTAGGACTACATGTGTCCCTTGTCACACTCTTGAGTTGGGTTTTTTCAGGCTGTGAGGAAGAGACCACACTATGTCAGATGATGGAGTATTATGAAGAGGAACAGGGAAGTGAACAGGACAGGAAAACAGCTTACGAGGTGCTAGAACAATGGGCCCTTGTCCCTCAGGCTACAATAACAGTTCTGAGAGCTGGGTAGTTTGACATCCCCTTCAAAGAAGCTTCGTTCTCCTGTCTTCACTACCTTTGCCTTTGGCTTTGGCTGTCCCCTTTACTTCTAGGTCCTTTCCTTGGTATCTTGTTTTCAACAACCCCCTAGACAGAAGCTCTATTTGAGTGTGAGCATCACCTCTTACTTATACTTAACCTTGGGCAGTTTGCTTCATCTCTGTGGGCCTCAGTTTCCTCATCTGTAAAAGGTGTATATCAGTGGTACCTACCAGAGATGGATTTTATGAGAAATTTAAATGAGTTAACACAAGTAGACAGGACAGTGCTATTTTCATTAGATTAGGGTGATTATCTCCCTTCCCACTAACTATAGCCAGGGTAGCAGGCTCTCTTGGGCAAACTCTGATGGTTTATGCTGTAGGTAAACTGGTGTCCATTTTCTTGAAAGGCGTTTGTAGGCATTAGAAGTATAGTATCTCCTGAGCTTAGAATCTCCTAGATCCTTTATTCTACATCACAGTATCCTTCAAAATAAATTTTAAAATGTTTAAACCTTATTATAAAATAATATAGGTTCATTAAAATTATATTAAAATAGTCTAGCAAAAAGCAGATGAAAATCACAGAGTAGAGGCTATATGATCTTTATGTGCCTGCATCCCTCCCTTTTGGGAACCAATTCTCCTGATTACATAGCAATCCTGCTTGATCCATATGGTTTTCGTGGACATGACCCAGATGCAGGCATGGACCAATGGACCAGACTCTCCTCTGGGACTTTTGTTGGAGCTACTGAAACATGATCTTTTCTTTTGGAACCAGGAAGACATATGATTAAGTTTGAAGCTTCTGATGGTGAACAATAGAGAACAGCTTTCTGGATGGAGACAAAGAAGGGTGAGGAGTGAGAAATCCCCAAAGACAGAAGACCTGAATCTAGTCATATGGGAAATTAGTAGCCTCTGTATATGAGCCAAGAAATTATATAAGGGAATATACTTTCTCTTATTTTATTTCTGCTTAAACTAGTTCCAGTTGACATTCTATTACTTGCAAGTAAAGCAATTTTGGCCAGCCTTCCAGAAGGAATGCCCCTTCCATTTGTATATACATCCTTTCAGTCTTTCTTTCCTCTTATTTTCTTGCATACATAGTTTTTTTTTTTTTAACAAAAAGGGGCCTTGATCTACAAATTTTAACACTTTTTTCCTTCCTGATTCTGTTATAAAATTTACCACCTATGATTAGCATCCAAGTGTTTCTGAGAGAGGATACAGAACTTCTGCTGCCTCCCACCCCCACCTGCACCATCCTCTGCCCTGCAGGAAAAATTTCACAGGGCAAGAAACTATCCCGTGGCATTTACTGATTGTCAGCTCCTTTCCTGCTCAGCGCTATGCTGCCAGATTGGAGACCCTCAGCTTTGGCAGACTTTGGTCTTAAGTCAGCTTGGACTCCTGCCTGGTCTTTCACAGCCCTTTCCTCGTAAAGTCTCCAAAATCAGCTTTTTCCATAAATATCTTACTACCTTTTTCTTAAGTGTAAAGAAATTTAAGGATGGGCCTATTATATATTAATAGTGATCTAGAGACACACTGCATGGGCAATAGTTTCAGGAATCCAAAAACAGATTCACAGAATATGTTCAGCTGCCAAATGACCATTTGGAGTTATGATCCTGTAAGAACATGGTAGGAATTATACCTGTGTTTTCTTTTCTTTTTTTTTTTTTTTTGAGAAGGAGTTTCCCTCTTGTTGGGCACCATCTTGGCTCACAGCAACCTCCACCTCCCGGGTTCAAGCGATTCTCCTGCTTCAGCTTCCCGAGTAGCTGGGATTACAGGCATGCACCACCATGACTGGCTAGTTTTATATTTTTAGTAGAGATGGGGTTTGTCCACGTTGGTCAGGCTGGTCTCAAACTCCTGACCTCAGGTAATCTGCCCCCCTCGACCTCCCAAAGTACTGGGATTACAGGCGTGAGCCACAGCCCCTGGCCTATACCTGTGATTTCTAAAGAAAATCGGAGGCGAAGTAGCTTTTGCTTTATAATTAGCATGATGAGATAATGCAGGCTATAGAACATTTGCTAATAATTATGGTGCTTACTTGCTCTCCTTATAGCTCAAAAATAACAGCAAAGTTTGTTTTGCTAATCCCTCCCCTGGATTTGTGAATTATTTGTTTTTTATTATTTGAAGACAAACCAGGAAAAAAAAATCCAACGTGGGGGAGTTTTTCTAATACAGAACACTCCAGTTGTCTTTGGATGTGGATGCCACACTTAATTTAATAACAACCAAAGCAGACCATGCTGGAAGCTCTAACAGAGGAATGTGTTTATAATGAAGGAAATGACACAGGTCAGAAAACAAACATGGGCTTTGAAACCAAGGATGCTGGTCATTCCTGCCCCTCCTTATTCTGCTGGGTTACTCGGAACAAGTCACTTCACCTTCCTGGATTCTGACTCCCCACCTGCCGCCTAGGGGTGACAATAATCCCTGCTCTGTTCATCTCAGGCATGAAGAAGAACAAAGGTGATAAAATGCTTTAGAATATTTTGATTTTTTATAAATAAACATAATGAACTATAATATTATTCTAATATTTAGATACCATTCTCCAGAATTTACAAAATGCTCACACATCTAATAGACGGTGTTATTGCCACCCCATAGATCATAGATCTCAGCTCCTCAGAGGAGTGGAAAGAGATTCAGTTTTAGAGTCAGACAGTCAGGGATTTGAATCCCAGCTTTGGCTGTGTGACCTTAGGCAAGTTAGTAGCCTCTACGGTCTTGTTTACATCCTTTGTGAATTGGGGATGAGGTAACACTTTCCTTGTTGTCCCAAAACTTTCTGTTAGACAGCAGGTATGGATTCCTTTATTACAATAAGCACAAATACTCAAATCTTAGGGCCAGTTAAACAGATAAGAACAGCAATGACAGTAATATGGTAAGAGCTATCATTTTTGGAGCCTTTCACTGTCTTGGGTGCTTTTCTAAAACCTTCACACATATTAACTCAGTGACTCTCACAATAGCCCTATGACGAAGGGACTGTCAGTCTCCCCACCTTCTAGGTGAGGAAACTCAAGCATGGAGGGGTAAAGTACCTTGCGCTAGGTTACCCGGCTAATAAGTGGCCCAGCTGGGATTTGGTGCAGGCTGTCTGGCTCCAGAGCCTCTCCTTGTAACCTTGATATGGGGCTGTCTCTCTAATTGCTAACTAACATTTATCACATGCTTACTACATGAGTGTCACTCTTCTAAGTAGTTTATGTTTACAAACTCTTAATACTCTCACAAGCCGGCCGGGTGCTGTGGCTCACGCCTGTAATCCCAGCACTTTGGGAGGCCCAGGCGGGTGGATCACAAGGTCAGGAGATCGAGACCATCCTGGCTAACATGGTGAAACCCCGTCTCTACTAAAAAAAAAAAAAAAAAAACTACAAAAAACTAGCTGGGTGTGGTGGCGGGCACCTGTAGTCCCAGCTACTTGGGAGGCTGAGGCAGGAGAATAGCCTGAACCTGGGAACCGGAGCTTACGGTGAGCCGAGATTGCACCACTGCACTCCAGCCTGGGCAACAGAGCAAGGCTCCATCTCAAAAAAAAAAAAAAAAAAATACTCTCACTAGCCCTAGATTATAGCTACTGCTTAGTTGTTGTTTTGTTTTTTTTTAAAGGATGCCTAGTTGAGTTTGATTTTCAAATAAATGACAAATAGTTCTAAAAATATAGATATGTCCCATTGATTATTTATCTGAAATTAAAATTAAAACTAACTGGACATCCTGTATTTTTCCTGGCAACCCTGCCCTTAAATGATAAGGTGGGAACTAATCTAGTTCCCAGTCCTGAGTGGGCCTTAGTGAATGAGTAAGTGGTAACTCCTACCACTATTATTATTTTCAGGTCTAGACATTTGTTTTCAGTTGTTCCTCTAGCCCAAGTAAATTCAGAAGTTATACGCATAAATAGATTAACAATTATGAAAATGTTAATACCGTAGAATAATAGTATCTCTGTAGCTTTTTCACGAAGATCAGATTATCTAAATGTAATCTCATGACAATCCTGTAAATTAAATATACTCATTTAATTAATGAGAAAACTGAGCCTCAGCGTCCTTACACAATTTGCCCAAAGGGCGTACAACTAAAATAAAGTGGATCTTCACATCTTCACCTGTAGTGAGTATGTGAGCCATGTTATTGCATACCAGGTTTTATAACGAAGAACATATTTGTCAAGATAGGAGTTTGGAGCCTAGCCTCAACTTCTATTAGTGGCAGAACACATCCTAAAACTTAAAGCACAGTCACCTAGAACAGTAAAACCAGTCAGTATCAAAAGACGGAAAAGGCATCTTCAAAATCACTATTACATTTAGCAATAGGATTGTCAACATACTTGTTTATTCCTTGGCCCTGGTAATATTTTATGGTGCTATAATCCTCAGTGATATGTCTGTATAACTTCCATTTACTGAAAAGTTTTAATGTTCTAGACACCTTGGGAAGATCTTTACCATTCCATAACATATTCTTATGACAAATACATGACACACACATGCAACCATGCTCTTCACCCATGGCTGTTGCAGACATTACTAGTTGATTATGGAGCTGTTTCCCTTTGAGTCTGGAAGTGACTGCAGAATCCTTATATACACACATTACTTTGGGCAGCCACTATCGGTCGACTGCAGCTAACATTGAATGTCATACCTAGTAGCCACTTATGATAATCTCCTCCTGCTCAATACCTTTATCTTTATAGCTACATTGAAAAAATAGTCAACTCTGAATGCTGTGTGATTAATGCTACTCTATAAGGACCATTTGGTAACTCCCAGAAATGGAATCCATCTGAGATGTGATGGTTCAGAGGCTGCAGCCTGCTGCAACCTAACTGCCACTTATAAAAAAAGAGGATGCACTGTGAGGAGCCTGGAGCTCTCTGCCACCAAGCCAGTTGCAAAGCCACCATTTCCAACATCTTGTGGTTGCTGTGATGGTCTGTTGCTTCCCCCAGGAGGAAAACTGCACACTACTCTGTGCCAGCAGTGAGGCCTCAAGTCCTGCCTTTTCTTTGAGGGTTTAGGTTTCATTCTCAGACAGTGTTCTCATAGGCCAAACGACTGGGTTAAGGCTGGGAGTGCCCTTGGATCATGACACAGTACAGATTTAGGAGGGCCGTTACCCTGGCTTCCTAGGCCATAAACCAAGCCCAGTGGGTTCACCTCTTTGTGCCCCCAGTTCCCCAACCATCCCCCCGACACACTCTAGTCCACACATAATGATGCTTTTCTTCTTTCCCTTTCTTGGGAAGAGAATTTAAGAGCTTCATGGACACACCCAAGGCATTGTTAGTGAAAGTTCAAGAGGAGACAGTGACCTGGGTTAGGAATGAGCAGAATCAAAATTAGAGTAGGAGGGAAAAAAGGAAACATTATTCATTAAATCTACTGATTCCTAAGATAATAGGGTTTGTAGGCCTCTTGAATAGGACCCCCAAATTGTATAAAGTCCTCAGCTTCTCCCTGTCATTGTCAAAACCAGCCTAGCACCAGTTTATTAAGGTCAAAACACACCCCGAGAAAAGGGAAATGCTATTCAGAGTGAACAAATAAAGCAAAAATGTAACAAGCTTGGGAAAGTAGACAAAGGGAACAGTAAATTGGAGGGGTACACAGGAGAGGAAAGGAAAACAAGTCAAGGGTCTAGAGCAGAAGGCCAGTGAAGGTACATGGCACATGTGAAGGGCATTAGTGGTATGTACTACTCTGAAGAGCAAGAGTTGCATTTCTAAACACTGACATGTGTAGCAGCTAAGAATTTAGACCCTTAACATCTGGAGGCTGAATTCCAGCTCCCTCCTGTGAGTTTTGTGGCATCAGGCAAGTCACTTAAATTCTCTAACACTCAATTGCTTTATTTATAAAATGGGACAATTAATAGTAACTCTCTCATGGTGCTCTTTTGAGAACTTGTCTAGCACCTAAATAAGGCAACAAAGTATGACGTTGCTATTATATGTCTCCAATACATTGCTAAAAATTTTGTAAGTTACAGAATATGATTAAATGATTCCATTTATGGAAACATTTTCTTTATACATAAATACATACTCACAAAAGAAAAAACAATGTTGTAGGATATAATAAATTCCTCTTCAAAGGTTTTAGCCTATAAATTGTTAAGTACAACGAGTTCTGGGATCCTCTCCAAAGAACCAATGTATCAGTATGTTCAGCTCCCCTGGTCTTTGTTCTTCATTTTAAAGTTTAACTTCCTCATTCTTTATGTCTCCTTGCCCCTAGTTTCAGTAAACAACCCCCTCCTAGCCTCTATCACCTAGCTCCATCCTGAGTCACCCCAGGTCACCTGCTCCATTCTGAGTCACTCCTAATCACCTGCTCTGACCTGAGTCACCTTTAGTTACCTGTTCTGTAACTCCTTCCCACGAAACTACTCACCCTGCCACTCCAGCTCATACCCCTGCTCTGTTTAAAATAGCCAATCAGAATTAGCTTAGACTGTGTGGTCCAACCCTAGCCAATAGGTGAAAGACACAGCAGTAGAGATTAGCTGCGTTAGGATAAGAACCCCTTCCCCTCCCTTGTTCAGTTGTGCTCTCACCATTGCTCAATCCACGAGACCCACCCTTCTATAGAAGTAAAATTGCCTTGCTGAGAAATTAAATTTACGTTCGAGTGCTATTTCTTTTGCGGCACCGAAAATTTATTTCTAACACCATAGAAGCCTAAACTCAAACTATTAACCATAGGGAACAGAAGTGATTTTTTTCTGCCTTTTATCTTTCTGTACTGTGTGGTATTTATCTTTATAATAAGCAGGTATTATTATAATAAGAAAATAAAGATACAACTGTAAAAGGAACAAATCAAATGACTACTGACCCTGAAGCATGGGGCATAATGTGGGGTCTCTAGGAGGACAGGCTGGCCAGGACATCCTTGACAAATAAACAGGTGCTCCCTGCCAAGGCAAGCCTAAAGGACAGAAAGGAAAATAAGACTTCTTGCTAGAAAGAATGAAAAATGAAAATAAAAAGGAGGCAGAAGTGTTTTGTGATACAAAATGGGACAAAATGTACAGGGTATGAGGCATCCACACAACACCCAATATTTTTCATGCCAGGAGTAGATGAGACCCACCTTCCACCATTTTTTTTTTTTTTTTTTTGAGATGGAGTCTCGCTCTATCGCCCAGGCTGGAGTGCAGTGGCGCAATCTCCGCTCACTGCAAGCTCTGCCTCCTGGGTTCATGCCATTCTTCTGCCTCAGTCTCCCAAGTAGCTGGGATTACAGGCGCCCGCCACCATGCCTGGCTAATTTTTTTGTATTTTTAGTAGACACGGGGTTTCACTGTGTTCACCAGGATGGTCTCGATCTCTTGACCTCGTGATCCGCCTGCCTTGGCCTCCCAAAGTGCTGGGAATATAGGCGTGAGCCACTGTGCCCAGCCCCTTCCACCATTTTTAATGGAATAAGGTACTTTGTGTTGGCTTTCACAAAGATCACGTTTATTCCTCTGACCATGGCTGTGTCTGGCCTATACTTTAGGTGACTAAAGGTTGGGAAAACAGAAATTTCTCTTGAAAGAAAATTTAGAGTCTACTTGCCAAGTGAAGAAGAATTTATAGGGCCACCTTTGACTGAAGTGTTCTGAGCATTAGAAAATAATGGTGAAATATATAAAGACAAGCTTGCTGAATGGATTAAAGCTTTTGAACCTATAATTAACCCAAGAAGCTGGTTTTAATTGAATAGAGAGAGAATAGGGAATTTATTGCATTATTCTGGTTATAATGAATATTCATCATATGATTTCTCAACCAACATATGATGAGCAAAAATAACTTTCTTGCCTTTCTATCTTCTGAAGAGGATATTGACAAGATACGAAGCATCTGAAACCACCTCCATTGTATTTCTATTTCTACCTGGGTCAATGAAACTATGAGCTTAGTGTTCTTAGGAAACTCTGGGGCTGGAGGATCCACTTCCTAGGTGGCTTGCTCACATGGCTACAAGATGGTGCTGGTGGAAGCCTCAGTTCCTTTCTACATGGGACTTTCCACAGGGTTGCTCGTCTGTCTTTCAGCATAGTGGCTGGATTTTGGCAAAGCTGGTTATCTAAGAGACTGAGGCAGGAGCTGCAATTCCTTCTTTTATTACCTAGCCCTGAAGTCACGTAATAGCTTCAGAAGTCAGCATAGACCAGACTTAATTCACCGGGAGGGAAATGTACAAAGGAGTAACTAAGAGGAGGTGAAGATTATTGGAGGCCATCTTGAAGGGTGGCTCTCTTAGGCACCAATATATACTGACAGTTTTCAGAGCTTGCATTGGAAGCAGTGTTGGGCAGAGATGGTACTCTTGGTAGAACCTATCAAAGCCTGGATTGTGGGCTGGAAGTTTTGAATAATCACAAGACCAGATACAGCCTTGTCTGGAGGCAAAGGATGGACAATTTGACCTCTAAGGGGTGTCTGGGATCTAGCTTGGATCTACTTACAGGTTATTTCTAAGCTTGGGATCCTTTGCCTCAGAACTAAATGGAACAGCAGTGAATTGATTAATTCGATCAATAAAATTTTTATAGAGGACCTACTATGTGTGAGGCACAGTACTTGGCACTGTAGCTATCCCTGCTTAATAGTAACCATCCCAATATTCAACTGTCCCAGTGAGTAGTTACTGTCCCAATAGTAACTCCCAATGAAGTGACAAAGGAAAGATAAGCTCTTGGACATTGGAGGTGGTGATAAGATGACAATAAGGTTGACAGCTTTATATCATGAGGCTGAAAATGGGGGATATGAATCCAGAATGAAAAGGAAGCGCTTTCTCTTCTATAAATACTTACCTTATTAATGAATTATAAATTTTCCTAAGAAAAATTATAGTATGCCGTGAGGACTAGTCAATGTAAGGGAAGTGATATTAAATTGAGAAGTGATGAGTAGGAGATATTTGAAGAAATGAGAGTGGGGAGGGAGTTGTAGGTAAGAGGGAACAGCATGTGCAAAGACCATGAGGTGGGAATATGATGGGAAACTCCGAATCCTGAACTGCCTGCCCTATACTTTGGGAGTTACTGACAACTGAGATCCACATGGCTCAGTGCTTATTATTAGAAGAAAAGTCTTAGTCATTTGATACCAAATTATTTCTTCTTTCAGTTCTGGATAAAGACAAGTACATTATTTGTTTTCCAGATTCCCAGAACATTAAGGCATAGTTACAGGGCACATCTTAGAAGAAATCTTCTCTTAAATCTGCTAGAATAGGAAAAATATCTGAAATAGAACAGAAAAAGTTTAACAGATAATTTTATTGCTAACAGCTCTGGTTTCTTTCAACGTCCAAAATTAAAGTGAACAGTTCAAGGAATATTGTGAAGTGGGTATTCCTCTCTTATGACCATTAGCATCACAGATGTCATCTTATGCAGGCAAATAAATAATTACAAGGGATAGTCAGCTATTTGTATGAACAGTCAATTCCTTTCCTTTATTATGATTTGAAATAACCTCAGACACAAAAATCATAAATGAACACAAGCAAGATCATACAATGGTCCCTTTAAGATAAACCTGGCAGTGTTTAACTAGAAATTACTGACTGTTCCAAAAATGACATTCTGTGTTCTGCAGTAAGATGGAGAACTTTTGCGTGTGTTTTTTCTTCCCTCCCATTCGGTTATAACAATGAGTCACCACTACCTGCAAAGCTAGACATGTAGATTTGCATCTTGTGCCAGAAAGCCTAGGTACCAGTTAGCCAGGATTTAAAAGGAGAGGGTAAAAAAGTTTAATTTACAGACTTAATTAAACATGAAAGTTTCCAGGGAGGAAAACACATCTCCTAACCACCATCCCCCACTTTTTAAAATATATCTATTGATCTTCATTCCAAAGATGTTACATACATTAGATAACTAATTTTTAGTGATTTGTATAAAGCATCCATTTGCCACAAATCAGAAAAACTGTAATGAGGACTGATACAAACAAAACTCCCAAGTTTTCTCTGACCACAGCACACTTCTAAAGGAAACCCATTTCACCCTATTTCTATAGAGGCTGTCTCTTGTGCCCACCCGTCCTTGGCTTCCAGGAAGCACAGAGAAGGTGAGATAGTGGAAATATGGGCTCAGAGACTCCTACAAAGATGATGATTAGGTACAATGAACAGCAGCCCCAAGTTACCTCCTAAGACAACTCCCCTCCCTGCCCTTTTCCCCCCAAATGAGAGCTTTCCAGCCAAGAAAGCTGACTGTTATTTTCATAATGCTTCAGGCATGCATAGCAAAAGAGCAGCTCTTTCTACCACTCCAGTTTAGGCAAGACCTCATCATCTGGGTTGAAAAGTTTGAGTTTCACATCTTTGTCTTTTTGTGCAACTGAGGAGCCAACCAGAAAAAAAATAAGAGGGTAAACTCATACTATATCTTTCCAGAAATAAAGAAAAAAGTAAATAATGAATATGAGCACACGCTTTTAAAAATATCTCTATGAAGCTAACATAGATGTAGATATAAATGTATTTCAAGATACCCATTGGGTTCCCCAGGCATGGATGGATTGGCTTATAAATTATTCCAAGATCTCTTTAGTGTCTGCATATTCAACCTGAATTATGTTTCAAGTCCTGAATCTCTCTTTTTCTCAGCTTTAATGAAATGTGTCCAAAAGTCATTCCCAGGACTAAGTGAAAAAGGAAAGATAAGCTCCTGGACGTTGGAGTTGGTGATTAGTTGACAATAAGGCTGACAGCTTTATATCATGAGGCTGAAAATTGGAGATTTGAATCCTGAATGAGGAAGAACAACTTTTTCTTCTGTAAGAACCAACAAGTCTCTTTTCTGAGAAAAAGGGAGACATTTTGACTGTGAGTGGGAGTTTTTAGTTCCTCTAAAGGGACATTTCAGGGGCACGTTGTTCAACAGAAAATATTACCTAGATGAGATTGTTCATCTACTAGACCAGAACTGTTTTTAATACTATGTTCTGCACTGTTAATGCTCAATAAATTTTTAGAAGCAATATTCCAACAATGATAAGAAGTCAAGTACATTCATTGTTCCGGTCCCTGCATTCAGTAGTTGCCGCCTTGAACATAGTCATAATGGACAAAGGCAACCAGGCACTTCGTTTTTTAGAGACAGGGCCTCGCTCTGTCACTTAGGCTGGTGTGTGTTTTCTTCCCTTCTCTTCCCATAGTGAAATGGGGTGATCATGGCTGACTTCAGCCTCAACCTTCTGAGTTCAAGCCACCTTTCCACCTCAGCCTGATTAGCAGGAACTACAGGTGCCTGCCACCATGCCCGGCTAATGTTTTTATTTTTTTGTAGAGAGGAAGTCTCACTATGTTACCCAGGCTGGTCTTTAACTCCTGGCCTCAAGCAATCCTTCCACCTTGGCCTTCCAAAGTGCTGGGATTACAGGCTTGACCTACCGCTCTCAACCAAGGCAGGCACCTTTACAGGGATCTTCATGCTTGAGATGCTTATTTATTTTTGTATGCCATCCACAAAAGGACTTCTATGCTCTTTGTATTTTTCTAATGAATTTCTCTAATACCTTAGGAGTCTCAGCACTAATGTCTTTATTTTTACTTTTAACCAAGATTTGTATAATTTCTCAAATTCATTCCCACAAAGAAGACAATGACGTCAAGAAAGACTTTGAGAATCCATCATTCTGTATGTTCAGCCTATCTCCTTTCATCAAGAAAGAATCCCCTTTGAGTTGGGAAATATTGTTTCCTTGACTTCAATCCTTTGGTTTTAATGGGAGTTGCCTATCAGTTTAACACACCCACCTGTTTACATGGGTGAGGATGTGGCCCAACTAGGCCAGTCATCATGCCCCACGTAGGATTGGCCCAAGAGACCCAGACGGGATCAACATAGGCCAATGCGAGTCCTGTCTGAAGTTGACACCAGAGGTACCCCTTTGACTCTGATGATGAATATGGGAAGAAGTGAGCCTGGAAGCTGCCATCAATCCTGCCTCTGGCCATGGGGAAAAGGTGATATCAGGAAATGGAGCCAACACTCAGAAAGAGGTAGAACTGAGAGACGGAGAGAATGGATTTTGAGTCCCATCTCTGGCATTGTTCATTAAGCTCATCCTTGAAATACATGAGCTACCCCAAGACTCTTTCAACTAATCATCCCATTTTATTCTTTTGCTTAAGGTAGTTCAGGTTGGGTTTCTGTCTCTTCCTGATTAATTCAGGTTCTAACTGCATTAAGAAGCACCTTGCACAGTAGTCTGCCTAGAGTAGATACCTAATGTATGTGGGTTAAAGAACAACTGCTTTTATTTCTTAACAGGTGAACTTTAGAAAGCAGAAGAGGGAATTGTAAATTGGATGGCTGTCTGAATTTTACTGTCACCATTAGCACTAATGGAGACACTATTACAGGTCTACCAACATTTCAGGTCATACTCTGTGAAGTGATTAAAGGTATAGACCAATGCTGTCCAGTGGAAATACAACTTGAGCCACATATGTAATTTTAAGACCTCTAGTAACCACATTTTAGAAAGTAAAAAGAAATAATTGAGATTAATTTTAACATTCTGTTTAACCCAGTATATAAAAAAAAATCATTTCATCATTTAATATAAAAATTAATAATGAGATATTTTAAAAAATTTCTTGTCCTGAGTCTTCAAAACCCAGTATGTATTCCATACTGAATCCAGTATATATTCCGTACTGAATCCAGTATATATCACATCTCAATTTGGACTAGCTACAGTTCAAGTTCTCAATAGTCATATGTGGCTAGTGGCTACCATATTGGAAAGTGCAGCCATATTTCCTGATCTTAATCCTGGTTCTACCACTCACTAGTTCTATGAACTTGGGAAACCTATCTGATTTATTTGAGCCTGAGTTTCCTCATCTGTAAAGTGGAGATAATAATAATCATTCCTTCACCATAGGGTAGGTGAGGATATAGAGATGAGTGGGCTGGATGAAGTTGCTGCCCACACTGAGCTATATTCTACGGGGAGCAATGGATAACTTACTGCAGTAAGTATAAACAAATGTCAGATAGTGCTAAGACAACAATATAACAGGTTATTGAGATAGCAAGTAACTATGAAGGGGACTGGGGTAAGAGCTTAGATAGGGCTAACAGGGAGGGCCTCTCTGAAGAGGCAATCAGTTAGATACCCGCAAATTCAACAATGAAATGGAGCCAGCCACATCACAATCCAGGGTACGAGGCCAGGATCTATGTTCCAGGAACTCAATAACTATCTCTAAGAAAGAAAACACAAAAATAAGTATCCCAGGGAAGACTCCTGAATGGCAACTCATATGCCAGCAGCCAGCATCAAGTCATTTTCTAAGTTTTTGTGCCGTGAAGTGCTGGCGACAGCTGTTTAGTGTCCTGCATACTTTTCTCAGGCAGCCCTTGCATCTGTTCCACACCCCTTAAGAGAGAATTAAAGAGAGAAAACAAACTCTGTTGACAGAAGGAGGTGTAGGCCTTTATGGCATTCAAAAAAAAGCAAATTAGAGCAAGGTAATTCCAAGCAACTCTAGTTTTAAAAATAGGTCAGTCCAGGTACCATGGGTAACACTGACAGATCTTTTCCACAAGCATGTGAAGAATACAGGTTTCAGGACAGTCCTGAACTTGTGAGGTCCTGCAGAGGCATACTCTCTGGGCGGTGCACATTTTGCTGTTGCTACTGCCAAGAGCCAAATTTGCCCTGGCTCGGGGCTGGACCCACTGCTCACGGTCTTGTTTTGACTCCTTCTGTCTGTTTCTCTTTGAAAGCAAATTGCCTCCCCTGGCTGTTTATGACATGTTTCAGGCAGCTGGCCTGGCAGTCTCTAGAACGCTTTTGAGTTTGCCATGCAGGTAAGCAAACTCGAAGTTAGCTGCCGTATCACGGCAGCAAGGGGTTCAGAAAAGGGTTTGTGCTAAGCTCTTGCTCAGCTACTTATACATGTCAGCTCCTTTCATTCTCCTCAAAACAACCCCAAGAGAAAGATATATTCCTACCAACATCTTGCAGTAGAGGAAACTGATGCTCAGAAAGGTAGTCATTTCCTCAAAGCCACACATCAATTAAGTGGTATCTCCAAATCCCCTGCTCTGAGCTGAATGGAAACAGTTAAGGCTAGAGAGAGGGGAGATACCTGGGGTGTCATATGACAGTCCATGAAGTTTTTCCGAGGTAACAAATTCAAGCAACTTGAACTTGATTCTCTGTCAAGACTTCACACTCCCAGGTCACCGTGGATAGATTTTCCACATTGTTTCCAAGTTGGCTCCAAAGACACCAGATCATGCGTAGAAAAGACGCACTTCGGGGGCACAGGAAGTGTATCCCGGGGAACAGAATCCAGAGAAAGAGAATGAAGAAGTTGGATCGGCACTGCAAAGCCGGATGCTAAATTCATTAATAGATGCCTTTAGGAGAGTTTTTAGAAGCTCAGGATCATAAGATTGAAGCAAGAATTTGAACAAGAAATAGAAAGCAAAAACAGATCACATTATTCAACCTGACAAGACCATACTTCCACCTGCAGCAGTAATGGTTTTTTACATTGGGTTGCATCACATAGGATCTAAACATGAATCCATGGATGACTTGCCTCCTACCTTTTCTACTCCAGCCCACCTAGCGTACTCTCACTGCTTCCTTGCAAATCATGCTACCTGCCTACTTGCCAGACTCAATGCTTTCTCGTTCCTTACCATCCTGGGTTATCTTTGATCTCCCTGTCACATGTGACAATGCTAGTCACTTTCTCTTCTCAATACTGTACCTCTCTTGCCTTCTGTGACATCATATAGTAGTGCCTTAGTTCTATGTTGCTGTGTAACAAATTACCCTAAAACTTAGCATCCTAAAACAACACGTATTTCCGATCTCTCAGTTTCTGTGGGTCAGGAAGCCAGGTACAGCTTACCTGAATCCTGTTTCAGGGTCTTGCCCAGGCTACAGGGAAGGTGCCAGCTAGAGCCATAGTCCTCTCAACTGGGGCTGGATCCATTTCCTGGCTCAGTCATTGATTGCTGGCAGGATTCAGTTCCTCATAGGTTGTTGGACTGAAACCTTCAGTAGTCTCTGGCTGATCACTGGAGGCTGCCCTCAATTCCTTGCTATGTGGGCCTCTCCATAGAGAGCTTCATCAGACCAAGTAAGTGACAGCAACAGAGAGAATGCCAGAAGGTGGAAGCCACCGTCTTTTTAAACGCAAGTGTGGAAGCGACATCTCATTATTTTTGATGTATTCTGTTCACTAGAAAGAAGTCACTAGATCCAGTCCACCCTCAAAAAGAGTGGAGTATATAAGAGTGTGAATAGCAGGAGGTGGGGACTGTTGGCCCACCACAAGAAACACATGTAATATCTATTGAGCACTATGCCTCATATTTCTCAATGCCAGTAAGTGATGGCCATATTTGACATTACATTCTCCTGCTCTCCTACCTCCCCAACTACCCTTGGGTTAAACCCAAGATGATGGATCAATTATTGTGCCATCAGACATAATAAAACTTAAGTACCCCTCCTCTATCCCATTCCATACATACATTTTTTTCTTCCCCACAAGGCAGCCAGAGTAGTCTTTCTAAAACCCAAATCTGATTATGCCACCTTCTGCTCAAAACCTTGCAATGGGTTCTCAGTGTCCTTTGCTTTGAAGACCCTGCATATGGGACCTACATTTACCTCTCCAATCTCTTCTCTCCGCATCCCCTCTCTCCTGTCATGTTTCAGCCATAGTTACTTTCTTTCAGTTCTTTAAACATGTCATTTTCACTCACCTGTCTGGCCTCTGCCGAATATACCTCTTAACTTCCAGCCTCTGCACTCCAAGAAAAGGGGAGTCCTTTCTCTTACCTAGAACCTCCATGAGGGCAGAGATCATGCCTATTAGTTTATCAATCTGTTCTTAGTACCTAGCATGGTGCACAGTGGTACTCAACCATGGGTAAAAGAACGTACCTTACAGAAGATGCTGGCAGAAGGTCCATAGACAAAGGGGCTATGGGACTTGATGAGTTCAGGATTTGCTTCCCAACATCCGCCTCCTGGACTCTGCCTTCTCCTGGGATGCCCTCCTAAAAGCAGAGAGGTAACATCATACGTTTAAGGCACTGTGTTTTTAGGGTGGCCAAATGCATGAAGAATTTATATCAAGTGCTTTCTTTCATATTGGAGGTTCCTGACATGTGTTTTCAAATGAATGAATGACTTACGAGACCCAAGTACAAAGAACACCTGTCAGTCTTAAAAACAACATCAGCTAGCATTTGTTAAATACTTTTGGTACGTCAAGCGTGGTGCTAGGTGTTTTACATGTAGTAATTTCTCATCTAATGTTTACAACAACACTATGGTTAGGTATCCTTATTCCTATTTCCCAAATGAGGAAAATGACACACAGGAGGGCACAGTGATTTGTCCACAGACATACATATTGTAAGTAAACTGAATTTGGACAAAATGATAATGACTGCAATGGTTTATTAAGCCTTTATTATGTGCCAGGCCTTTTACCAGTACTTGATTTGGGTTATCTTACTTAATCCTTCTAGAAACCTATTAAAATTGGGAACAGAGTTATTCTTGAATTAGAAATGAAGAAACTAAGGTTTAGAGAGTTTAAGAATATTGCCTCTGATGGCACAGCTAGCAAAAGGAAGTGCTGAGATTGATTTTTTTCTCAGAACATACTTTATTATAGTGATATTTTAAAGAAGAATTTAATTTCCAAGTATGAAATATTTCAAGGAGTATGTTAAAACTATAAGCTGACAACAGTGGCCAAGGTTAGCCCTCTCTCTTTCTCCCCAAGAAGAAAAGGCTGGTATAAATATTTAGGAGGCTTGAAATCATGACTTAAAGAAAAAAAATGAAATATCTTAGTGAATTTTTGGTCTAGTCGATAGTGAAATCAAGATTAATTTAAAGCCAACGACTAATATACTACTCACTTGCATTTTATTCAAGAAAAGAAAATATGTCCATCTATAAGAATACAGAAATGTTTTTATTTCCTGTTGTCTTGAAAACAGTTACTAAAATGTAATTCAAGATACTGCTGGGCTTCTCATTTGTATCATGAAGGTGACAGCACAGACAGTAACAATTCATAACATCATGGCTTTCCAGGGTGGGCACGCACCCGCTATGCTCCTTATGCTATTGCCACTGTCCTAACTGAACAGTAGCATATCTCCCTCCCTTACCCAGAGCTGGGATTTGAACCCAGGCCTGTTTGGTGCCCAAGACTATGCTATTATCATTAACGAACCACTTCTCACACGGTCCTTTATTTCACCTACCCAGGCCACTGTACTAACCACAAAGCATAGACAAAATGTGTTTCTCAATTGCCATGATATTGGATTCTTGCTCAAAGAAAGGCCGCAGACTCTCTGGACTCTGAAAATAACCATAGCAGGCTCCTCTGAGTCCTCACAGGGTAACTGAGCAGGAAGGTTTTCCAAGTCTTCATCAGGTCCAGTGGTTTTAAAAGCAGGCCAATATTCAGAATCAGCTGGAAGTTCTCACAAGCTACATATTCCCAGGAGCCGTCACAGACCCGTGGACTCAGAAGCACAATGGCCAGGGCTTAGGAATATGTTTTAACAAGCTCCTCAAGGACTCTGATGGTCAGCCAGATAGAAGCCAACAATTCCTCCGCAAACCCCTGGTCCCAATCACAACTCCACCCCATGAGGCCCCCAAGCCTGCCACATCCCCATTTATATGACCCAAAGGAGAATGCTTCAATGCCAGCTGGTGATTGAGAAGAAGCAGGTTTGGCACCCAAAACAGCAAGAGTGATACATGTCTAATTCTACTGCTGATTTTTTTTCATTATTTAATCAAAACGTATGTTCTTTTCTGGATACCACTATAAACTCCCTTTTTGAACATTAAAGAAAAGATGACAATGATGATATCTATAACTATTTATGGGATATTTACTATATGCTTTATATACATTATTGCTAATTGCAGCAACTCTCCAAGGTACATTTTATTCTCTCCACTTTGCAGTTAGGAAACCGAGGCTCAGAGCGGTTAGTTAACTTGCCTAAACATGTCCCTCCAGCAAATGGCAGGACCAAGATTTGAATCTAGATCGTGATTCAACTCCAGAGCCCACATTTCCTCGACTGTCCACTAGCTGTGTCATCTGGGGCAAGTGACTTTTCAATGCCTTAATTTCTCCATCTGTGCAAAGAAGGAAACAAAAGAACCTCACTCATAGGATCGTCATTTAGATTAAATGAAATAATTCATGTCAGACAATTAGCACAGTAATATTAAATATTATATTAGTTGTTTTTTATACCTGGGCTTCCCAAATATGTCTTGGAAAACACTTGAGCCCTCTAAATAAAAAGGTTGCAAATTATTTCAGCATGTGTGCAAATTCCGACTTACTCTCAGTGACTCTCAATGCTTATTAGCATATTAAAGACCCAGAGAAATTCCACAGTGAAGAATCCAGTTTACCCCAAGCTGGAAGATATAATTTTTTAAACAAATCTCTTTATTTTCGCTTAACATTTTGGTCCTACCCAAGAAGGAAAGGGGCCTTTTACGCCCAATTTGGAATGGAATTACTTTGATAATCTCACCCTTCGCTCGTGCTTGGAAAAGGCCCTACTAGAAGAACATACCATTAAGTACTTGCTTTGATACTGGCTGTTAATCCCATGGCCCAGCTTGACATTGTCTCTTAGCAACGTCCTGTCCTTTTCCCCTTTTCATTCTTGTGCCTCTAACAACACTTCCTCTCCTCTGATTTCTCTTTGGCCTCCGGCTTTCAAGGCCCCTTAAGCCTCCTGTACACAGAGAGAAGCAGGAGCTGAAGGCCCCATGCACATATTTATGTTAATAGCACTGAGGGGAGGAACAGGCTGTTCTGGGGACTGCTTTCCAACTGTCACATAAATCAGTCAGAAAAAAAAGGTTACTACTTTCACAAAGACACTGCCAGCGTGGAGCAGCAGGTCTTGGCAATGCATTGCTCCCCCATTCCCCACCCCCTAAGCTGAGCTTCCGTCATGTCTCCCTCATTCTCGATTCTCCAGGCAGGAGGGGATGAAGGATTTTGTAGACGCAGAGGATTTCCAAGTCAGAGGGGACCTCTGAGATCATCTAGTGCTAAATCAAATGGAAACTTCTAGTAAATATCTCTGCCTGGGTCCTTTCCCCAGAGATTCTGGAGCAGTTATTTGCAGTTATTTGGAAGTGGGGCACAGGAATTTTTTTTTTTAAGCTTTCCAGTTGATTCTAACGTACAGTAAGGACTGGGAAGTACTGACGGACTCATATTCTTGTGGAGAGACTGAGGACCAGAGAATGTGAAACTTCCTTTAGATCACACAGACCGTTAGTGATAGGGTGGAGCCTTCATTCCCAGTGGTGTTTTCTTGCAAAATATTATGCTGCCACTAAGTCCTGGGGTAGAGACGCAGAAAGACCTAGACAGTGGTATTATTAGAGTTTTGCATCCCAATCACTTGGGAAGCTCTTTTAAATATGCCTTCACTTTCCTTATTTCCCTGGACCTACTGAGTCAGAATCTCTCTTTTTAAATACAGACAAGATCTCACTGTGTTGCCCAGGCTGGAGTGCAGTGGCATGCCCATAGCTCACTGCAGCCTCCAACTCCTGAGCTCAAGTAATCTTCCTGTCCCCTCTTCCTGAGTAGCTGGGATTACAGGTGTGTGCCACCAAGGCCTGCTATTTAAAAAAAAAAAAAAATTGTAGAGATAGGGTCTTGCTATGTTGCCCAGGCTGGTCTCAAACCCCTAGCCTCAAGTGATCCTCCCCCTTCAGCCTCTCAAAGTACTGGGATTATAGGCAAGAGCCACTACCCTCGACCTGAATCAGAATCTCTTGAAGGAACCCTAGCATGCAGATTTTGCAGAAATCGTTGGTGTTAAATTTGACACATACTAACCTGATAGAAAGAACCACAGATTTGAATTAGAAAAACCAGCCTCCAAATTTGAAATCCATCAAATGCTAACTGTGGTTTTATGAACAAGTAATATGACTTCTCTAACCTTCAGTTTCTTTATCTGCAAAATGGGACTACACAGCTAACCCTCTTCACCCTTCAATTTTATAATTAAAATGTTATTTCTTCTAAAAAGGCTTGACTGAGCTTTCAGACCAGTCGAGCCACCCACCCTCCCAGGATACATTTTCAGAGAACACCTCATATACTCCTGCTTTGTGACAGTGATCACAATTCATTGATTAAGTAGTATGAGGCTTAATACAGGTTCTTTAATGAATACATATCTAATTATGATTAAAGAGTTGTGCAACGGATTACTTGCTTTCTGTCTCCACTACTAAAGCTCAATAAGATAGGAAGTTGGGCTGTCCTGTTCATTGCAGTATCCACAGCACCTGGTGTGAAGCCGGCACTCCATAAATATTGGTTGAACAAATGGCTGAACAAATGACCAATATATGTAAAGCACCTGGCATGTAGTAAGTATGCAACACATGTTGCCTGTTATAATTATTTTCAGGCCAGGTGCTGTGGCTGATGCCTGTAATCCCAGCCACTCTGGAGGCTAAGGTGGGAGGATCACTTGAGGCCAGAAGTTCAATACCAGCCTTGCCAACAGAGAAAGACTCCATCTCTAGAAAATAAAAAATAATAAAACTAGCCAGGCTTTGGTGGTGCATGCCTGTAGCCCCAACTACTCAGGAGGCTGAGGTGGGAGGATCGCTTAAGCCCAGGAGTTTGAGGATGCAGTGAACTATGATCATGCCAGTGCACTCTAGCCTGGGTAACACAGTGAGACCCTGTCTCTAATTTATTAATTAATCTTCAGAGAGGCCGGGTGTTTTACCCAAAGACACACAACAGAGCTGAAATTTGAACTTAGTCTACAGCACTTGTTTGTAATTCATTGTGTTTTTCTGCCTTAAAGTTTTTATATTAGGGGGCAGGATCTAGGAAGAAATTGCAGGCTCTCTCTGTCTCTGTCAGCTAGAATGAACTTGAGACCTGTCTGGCTCTTGCACACCCTCAGTCTCCACTGATGTAGTCCATGCACACACACACACACACATACATTTGCAGACTAAGATGGTTGTTGGCCTTGTTCTACTCTTGAGAAAATTTTGGTTGATAAACTCCTTGAAGGCAGTCACCATGGTGTTGGCTTCCACTGCAAGATAGAGCCATAGGAGTCCTATGATTTGCTGATGATAAACTTCTGAGCAGTAACACTGTCTGGATCCCAGCACTAGTCAATCATGATGGGGCCAAATATCTGTGATAATCTCTGGATTTCCTCATTGGCCATCATGCTGTCTGTGATTCTCAGGAAATGGGTGACTGGAGGGGCGCAGAAGGGAGGTGGAATTCACATTATTGGCTGCTTAACACACATTGGGGAAGGGAGTTCAGAATAAGACTAGGGGTGAATGTTTCTGGGAATGACTGGATGAGTGCTTGTGTGTCTACACTAGCATGAAAATCAAGAAATATGAAAGTTTTCATTTTAATAGCTTTCATTTAGTTAGCAGTTATTAGGCCCCAGATGCTATTTCTAGTGCTTTACAGACATTATCTCATTTAGTTCTCTGGGCTCCAAGGGATTGAAATCATGGTGATCAGTATCATCAGGGGAGAAAAGTGAGGTGAAGAGTAATATGCCAAATGTTACAAACATCTGTATGAGGCAAGACCGCATTGGAACCAGGTTTAATCAAAGATTTCAGAGCCTTCCTTAGCACATTCAAGTGGTATTTATTGGGCACCTTGTATGTACCATGTTTTGTTTTTTGGTTTTTTTTCCTTATTGCAAGGAATATATTACAAAGACGCATGTTCTTGTGGGACTTAGATTCTGTCAGGAGACAGGCCAAATCTAAGTTCTGTGATCTGTTAGAAAGTGATAGTGCTAGGTCAGGCACAGTGGCTCACGCCTGTAATCCCAGCACTTTGGGAGGCCGAGGCGGGCGGATCACCTGAGGTTGGGAGTTCGAGACCAGCCTGACCAACATGGAGAAACCCCGTCTCTACTAAAAATACAAAATTAGCCAGGCGTAGTGGCACATGCTTGTAATCCCAGCTACTTGGGAGGCTGAGGCAGGATAATTGCTTGAACCCAAGAGGTGGAGGTTGCAGTGAGCCGAGATGGCACCATTGCACTCCAGCCTGGGCAACAAGAGCAAAACTCTGTCTCAAAAAAAAAAAGAAAAAAAAAAAAGAGAGAGAGATAGTGCTATAGGGAAAAAAAAAGGGCAGTGCAAAAAGGATGGGGAGTGGGTGGGAGACTGTGGACATGGCATCTGTGATGCAAGTTTCCAATTCAAACAAAGTGGTCTGAACAGGCCTTGATGATAAAGTCACATTTGCAGAAAGAAGGGAAGACTTGTAAGAGGTCTTTATGCTATGCTATGCCATGCCACGTTCGGGCTGCCTCCTTAAAATGATTGGATGGATGAGTGAGTGAATAAAACTACTATTGATTAAGCACCTACTATGTCTCAGGGGCTGTGCTAAGCACTTTATCCATAATTTCTAATTGAACCCTATAAGAATAAAGTAATCTTCATTTTTCAGATAAGGAAATTGAGACTCAGCAAGAATAAAAAAGATTGTCCAAGTTGGGCACAGTGGCTCATGCCTGTAATCCAGGCACTTTGGGAGGCTAAGGCAGGGGTATAATTTGAAGCCAGGAGTTTGAGACCAGCCTGGGTAACATAGCAAGACCCCATCTCTACAAAAAATTAAAATATTGGCCAAACATGCTGGCACGCACCTATAGTCCCAGCTATCCTGGAGGCCAAGGCAGGGCAATTGCTTGAGCCTAGCAGTTTGAGGTTGTGGTGAGCTATGACTGTGCCACTGCACCCAAGACTGGGTGACAGAGGGAGACTGTGTGTCTATAAAAATAATTTTTTAAAAAACTGAGATTGTTCAATATCAGTTAGTAAGTGATGGGACCAGGATTTAAACTCCATTCCTCCAGCTCCTTAGCCCCTGCCCTTTTGATGACCACAAAGCTTCCATTCTTTCTTGGACTGACAAAGAGTATGGGGAGGCTGAGGGCTGCTGAGTGGAGATGCACAGCCCCCAAGCCAACCCCAAAGGTATAGATTATGTTCCTTTCACCCTTGCACAAAGCCAGCCAGCCCTGACTTGAAGAAGTCACCCTGCATCACTCCCTGAGACAAGGATGCTGAGTCTCGGTGCTCACACCTGTAGGCGGCCTGGTTGACCTGCTCAGTTTTCCCTGTGATGCATTCTGTCTTACACATCCTAAATTTTCTTTTACATGGCTTTGACATTTCTTTCTTTAGTGGTGATAGCAGACAGATGTGAAGATGCAGTTCCTAAGAGCTATACCATTCCAAATGTCAGAAAAATGCAAGGTTTCTGGAAGTTCATTGCCCTCAGCTCCCTAAGAGCGTTGCTCTTTCACCAAGGAATGGTGGAACCCCAGGTGCTAGAGGCTAAGCATCTTTCTAGCACACTTTTGAAGGAACTGTTCATAAACTTGTTGGAGTCTCATTCTTGACTTGGCAAATGTGGCTCTCATCAGTGTTCTTCCCCAAGTCTGACCTCCTTTCCTCATTCTGCAATTCCTCCTTCTTGTGGACATTAGGAGCTCATCATCTAAGGGGACTTGCTGAATGCAGTTCTACTCAGCCTACACTTGTGTTATGTCTCCCTCCAGCTTCATGAGTGGTAAACTCATGAAAATATAATACAATATAAATATTGTAAGTAAATGACATCCACTTAGAAGTCTACAAGGAAAAGAGGTGGGTTGCTTGAGTGAATTTGGTCATTCAATAAAAATCATACCAAGACATTTAGGCATGAATGTGAAATGACATGAGTACTTTGAAAGTTAGGAGCACCACAGAAATATACTTTGGAAATAATGAAGCCGCAGCAGCTGGGAAGAAGGATGGTAGAATCCTCTCTGGGCAGCCCAGAGTTTCACAGTCTCGGTCCACCCTATGACCCCAAGCCAAGCCCAAATGCATAGATTCTGTTCCTTGCACCCACTGTACATACATATATTAAATACTTATATAGCATGAGGACAGCTTGTATTTGTTAAAACATTTTCATGTTTTGAAAGCACTGTTCACGGCCATTAATTTATTTAATCTCATTCAAGCATCAAAACAACCTAGTTAATGGGATGTGGTGATTTAAACCTCTATTTTGCAAATGAGGAGACAGAGACCACAGAAGCTCAGTAACTTGTCCAAGGTCAAAGCCAGAGAAGGATGAGAGCATGATTCATGTCCAAGTGTCCAGAGTCAAACTCCCATGTTTTTTCCCTGACAAGGAAAGGATGCTTGATACCAGATTCATTTATAGGTATAGGATGATCACACCCTACCCTACCTCTGTCTCTCTCCTGTTCCTATGTCTCTATTGTTCTCTTTCCTCTCTCTCAACTTCTTTTTTCTCTGTCTCACCTTGGATTTAAGTTTACTCCAAGGTGAATGTGCAGAAAAGCCTTATTATGTGATTATTTTACCTACAATGTGATCCTGTGACAGGGACCCCAAGAGTGACCTTGTAATGAGACCTTAATAAATTGCTCTGGAGTCCAGAGTTGGCTGCATGCTCCAGTGCCCTACAGCAGATAAAATCCTCACTAGGGGCAGCATGTATGATAGCATCCATGACGGTGTAGACTCACACACCGGGAGAGATGATCCAGGTTGCTTAGAGTCAAGGCCAAACCCCCAGACCTTTGGGGCCCTTCCTGGTCCCTCCTTTACATTCATCACACTTTGATGTATTTGCTTGTCCAGTGTCTGTCTCTCCATTAGATGGAGCAATATAGGGAAAGAACTATGTGTGCCCTGTTAACTGCTGGTCCCCTTGGTCTATAGCATTGTGTCAGTCATTGCCTAAGCCCTCACAAAGAGAGGGGGAATAACTGCATGAATGAATACATGAAGTATTGATGGAATAACAATAATTTCTCATGTCTCTCTTCTCAGAAACACTCACATTGTCCAATATTCTCATTGAAGATGCATCTTAACCTCTTTAGGATTTTCACAGGGAAGGAGTTCCACATGAACAGCCTGTTCTGGAATGAGTGGTGATGAGATGGGATGAGAGCATTTTCTCAGTGTTTCTCAAATGGTACCGTGCAGACCCTTGGGTATCAACTCAGCCCCATCACCAAAACCAATAGTGGTTGGAAACTCAAGGAACAGGAACTTTGGGGAAGCTGAGAAGAAGGGCAGCTGGGGCCTGACTTCATTCTCTCAGGATTCCCTTCCTGTGAGCCTCTGGTTATTCTATCCTGAATGCAAGGCAGATATGGAGAGGTTCTGAGTCAGGGCCCAGAATGTGAGGTTCTTATGAGACAATAAAAATTGGAATCAACTTCTGGCCTTGCTGGGTCTGTTATTGGAATTAAGCCCATCTTTTCTCATTTTATTTAAACTGAAGACACTTTCTGGCAAGGTGTTAGATTGCCATCAAAAATGTCAGCCAAGGGCTTATGAAGTCAAGGCCTGAGAAACTTGTATCAATTTATGCTCTGGGTAAAAATTCATATGAGATTTAGCAGCCTAGCAGGTTCATTTATTATATACTCATTTGCATGTCCTAAACTAAAAACCTGCAAGGAGCTGTGTATAAGATTAACAAGAAAGGCCAAAGTGGCCTCTTCTATCCCAAGTAAGGATAAACTGATAGATGAACTGTGGAGGGCACACTAGAGTGATCTTCTTCCCTAGTATAAGAGCAGAAAAGAACTGAACATTTTCTGAGTTCCAATTCAAACCTTGATCAAAGATCCAATCAAAATGAACCTTACCAATAACAACGTGTATTGAATATTGAATATATACCAGGCTTTGTGCTAAGCACCTTTCGTTTATATTGACCAATTAGTCTTCTCAATGATTTCATCAAGTGGGTTTTATTATTTGCTCTATTTGATAGAAAATGAAAGAGAGAAACAGAAGTTCCCAAACTTCATTCAATATGCCCAAGCTTGCAAACCAGCAAAGACCGGGATTAAAGGCTGGGCAGTTAGCCTCTGGAACATCTGCCCTTAATGTTGGTTAGGTAATGAATCCAACATTCAGGAATATAATCAAAATGCTCATTGCAGGTTTTGTTGCAGTTTGAGACTCCTTATGGTGGCAGATAGTTAAACCTCATAGTACAACATTTTTTCTTCTTCTAGTTCCTGGTACAAAGAGAAAGCACTAGAATAATTAACTGGAAAATTCATTCTCCAAATGTTTTGCTTTGTACCAATAAATTGGATAGGTCAAGATGCCCTCCTGTCTGTCCCCTGGGATTTTGAAGAAATGTTTAAATCACTTTTGTATACTCATACCATTTGGGTGGAGAAAAATCTAGGGATTATCTAAGATTCTTAACAGCCGTGACAATCAGGATAAAGAACATGGCCATAAAGAGATACCCTGATGGGGGAATGGCAGGCTTTACTTACTCCTATGCATTTGATCTTTGCAGCAAGCTTAAGTCAAACTTACACTTCATTCACTAATATACAAAAAGATGCCCAACATCAGTAGTATGGAAGGGAATTAAAATTAAATGATGTTTTTTACATATCATTTCGGCAAAAACTTCTGAGTTTTGATAATATCGATCATAGTGAAGGTGAGGAGAAACAGGTACTTCCATAGATTGCCAATGAAAGGATGAATTGGAATGCCTATTCTGGAAGGTGATTTGAAAGAATTAAAAATGTATACCACCTGTGAGCCAGCAATTCTAGTTCTTGCTGTCTACCACCAGGAAACACTTATATTCACAAGAGTGTTCACTGCAGCATAATTTATGGTGCCCAAAATTGGAAATCGCAGAAATGTAATATGTCCATACCATGGAATATTACACAGCTCACGAAAAGGTAAATTTCTATGACTGACAACAAATAAAATGCATAAGACATACTGTTAATTTAGAAAACCCATACAGCATGGCATCATCCAATTACACACACACACACACACACACACACACACGATTGTATAGAAAAAACAGTGTGGAGGTACACAAAAGACTCAAAGATGAGACTACTTCTGGGGAAGTTCTAGGGATGGGGAGCAATAGCCAAGAGAACCACCCATCATTCAAAAAATATTATTTAGCACCTTCTCTGTCAGGCACTGATGCTACCCCTGTGATGAACAGACCAAAATCCTTGGGATCATGACGCCAATATTATAGTGTTAGTATTATTGTTAAGCATGTGTATGGAACAAGAATGAATTTATATATTAGTTGTAATTAAAAATAAATAAAAATAAAAGCTAATAATGAAATCACTCACAATTTGAGATAAACAAAATGTCAACTGATTATTTTGGATTTTAAGAGTACTTGCAAATATTCCCAACCACAAATGTTATATTGGTGGCTGTCATGAGGCTACTGTAATTCCTCAAATGGTCCCCTTTGGATGGTTGGCACAGACAGAAATGCATGCAGGAACAGTCTCATACACCTCAAACACCTGCACACAATTTTGACAGTTGCTTCTATTAACATTTTTGGGGAGCATCATTAGACACAAAGTAGGAGTAAAACCCAATCCAATTATACATATTTTCACAACAGATATGTACAGGAATAATCTTAGTGGCGCCATTAAGTGGCCTAAACTGAAAACTACCTAAATGTCCATCAGTGGTTGAAAAGATGAATAGTCTGCTATATTCACACAAAAGAATGACATACAGCAATGAAAAGCAATGCATTAAAATGAAATGTAATAATGGATGAATCTCATTGACAGTGGTGAATGAAGGAAGCCTGACTCAAGAGTAACACACTCTAATTCCATTTATTGAAAGTTCATTAAAAGGCAAAAATAACACATGATACTAGAAGGTGGAATAGTTGTTACCCTTAGGAGGAAGCAGTAGCTTAGGTGCATTATAAAGGCTTTGTCAGGCTCAGGATTGTTCTGCTTCTTGATCTGGATGCTGGTTGCCTGGATGTGTTTATGAATTGTGTTGAGTTTTACAGTTGCTACATGTAACTTTTTTGTAGGTATATCCTACTTGCATCACAAGCTTAGGAAAATAAAAATAAAAACATAAAGCCCTGAAATCCAATTTGTATTTTGGAAACTCATCTTTGTCAAGTCACATGCCTTCTCTGGGCTTCAGTTTTACCATCCAAAAAATGGGAGAGAAATTTGTTAGCTGATCAGAAAGGGCTCTTCCAAATTTATGCCTCTGTGTCTCACCTCTTCCATTCTAATAATTCATTCCTGAAGGAATTAAAAAACCTAGAGAATGAGGCTTGTAGAAGGCTTATAACATCACATGTGTCCCATTTTCAAGGCATTTGTTATAAATTAAAGACACAATCAATGAGCAACGGAAATTATGTCTTTCCAGGAAAATACACATAGTTAATTCTTTCCCAAAGTGCTTGTAGGATAAGTAGGAATATGCCAAACGCTGCCTCTATCACACGTCCTACAGTCATGCCAATCCAAACAGCCTGTGAGGGGAGAGTCAGCAATTTAGGAGGCAGGGCTGTTCCTGGGAGGAAGGAGGCAGCCACTATGCTCATGACTGACGACCTGTTTGCAAAGGCACTTCCTCTCTGAGGGGAGCTGGTTCATAATTTTCCTCTTACTGCTACTGGAAGTCCTTGAATGGCAATATCACAACTTGTACCCATTCACAACAGGAAAAGTTGACATTGGCAGATAATCTTGGCACATGAGGAGGAAAAGTCCAGTACTGACTGTCAGCTTCTGTATAAGAACCAGGAAGATAATTTCTATAGTGTATACTATGATGTAATCATTACACTCGAGGTTGGCCTTCAGCCAGGGACTCTTTTCCTTGTTGTATCCAAGCCCCACTGATATTTGCAAGGCAGGGACCCCAAGGAAATCAACTCAAGGCCCTGAACAGACCCATTGTGTTAACTCTATTTAAGCCCACAGACATGGACTCTTGGGAGAGTGAAGCAGCCTCTGATGAGCAGGGGTGTTATCCTGACTGTTCAGAAAGCTGGGCCTCACGTGAAGGGCTGGTTCTCAGAGGAAAGCTCAAATTAGCAGCTGAAAATAACCAGACACAAAATCTGATAGGGGTTCTCAGGTCATCTAGATCAGTTCTTTTCAAATGATCAGAGGCGAAGGACCAGTTTTGTTTCATTTTATTTGGTTATTTATTTGTAACGATTCACAGGCCAATACATTTTTTTAAATTCAAGAAAATTGAATGATTACAAATGGAATAAAGAGACAAAATATAAGCCCCATTTTTTATTAGTTTCAACAGACATTATTCTGTCCAGCGGCTATAAAAATTCAGAAATTGTCCTTGATCTAGGTGCTGGTTAAATAGATTTGTTTAACTTGTGAAAATCTGTGGAGCAGTAAGCAATGTCTGCAGGTACCCACTGTGAAACAGTGGTAGTCTGTGGATTTCAGGAGTGGTACTCATTGGAGATCTTCACACTCTGTCATGAGTACACTTTTTTGGGAATAACATAATGTTCAAAGTAGGGGAAAGGGTCAGTGGACAGATATTGTAATGAGGATGGGACCCAAGATAAGACAATGGAAAAACAGGTAGAAAAGTATTAAAAGTAATGGCAAAAACCACGATTACTTTTGCACCAACCTAATAAGAATCTCAGAAATCAAGACTTTAGTGAGGAAGCAATTTTTGATGATAATGAAGGAACCTGCTGTTTTCAGAGGAGGGAGGTCGAGGGACATCAGTAAATAACCAGATTAATTACCTAGAATGAAGCACAGAGATCTCTGCTCACTGGGTTCAGCAAATCCATAGGCTAAACAACCAATAGGCAGTACATGAGATATTGAAGTTCTGGTTTAGGTCAGCCTGAGAACACCAGGCAGGTAACGCATTACTTCTTTCCACCCATTTCCTGCTCACAAATTGCAGATGGAAAACAGATTTTTACAAAATCAATTTTCTTGTTTTATCAAATACCAAATATAAAAGCTCATGTCCATATAATCACAGTTAATGATTCTCGAAAGCAAATTTAGAATTAGGGGCAATTACAACAAAACCTTAGCAGAGTAAGTTATAAAACAACTTATTTTCAGTTATAGGAATAATTTCCCACTGAAGGCAACTATTCTTTTTTTTTATTTTTTTAGTGTTTTTGGAAAAGGGACAAATTTAAGTAGGTAAGACAAAAAACTGAAATTCTACAAGCATTTTAGTTTCCAGTCCAAGACAGCTGTTGGGTGATATCACCCATTGTGAAAACAGCCATGCGTGGAGGGAATTGGCAGAAGAAAAGCAAGAACACTCGATATGGGGTGTGTAAACGTGCTTTCTCTGTCTCCTTTGATTTTCCTTATAGCTAGACCCACCTAAAAGTGAAGTTACATATGTGGATGTTTATATGAAGAATAAAGGACACAAGAAAGGATTCAAGAAATGAAAAACGGTGGAGGAAGATAAACATTTCAAGATTCAGATCACGTTGCTGCCCGAATTCAGAGTGTCTCTAAGGAAATAGCTAGAAGGGGTTTTCAACTCTCAGCTTCCTTCCAAGGAATAAAGAATTTGCTGTGAGCAAAAAAACTTGCCAAGAAAATGCCAATTTGTGTCACACTAACATCTTTCTTAAGGCTGAACGTGGACTTCGGAAATGTGAACCTTTGGCTCTGGTGAACACAGTCAGCCTTGAGGGTTTGAAATTAGGTTCTTCAGAAGGACGGAAGGAAATCTGAGAGATCAACTTAGACACCCACTAATTAGAAAATGCACCGACACCAGAGACTTGTTTGCAATGAGTGGTGGGGTCAACCTTTCCATGGCACCTGACGTGAACTTAGAAAAATGGAATCCCTGAAAACGTTTGGAAATGATTTTATCGGAGACAGAGAGAGACAGCAACTGCTGGAGGGAGAAAGAGAGGACAAAAGGCAAACCAAAGTGAGATGCTGTAATCGAGAAGACTTGGCGAGAACAAATGGAAGAACGTTTGAACTTGCTTGTTGCAGACAAAACAACCTTCAAAGGCTACCTTTTTCCTATTTGATGGGGTAAAATTGCTTCCACCAATGCATTATACATATTTAAAACTCTCTTTCTGCATTTATAATCTTCATAGATGCAGCTTCCTCCAAACTTAGGTAATGAATGTAAGATGATGCTCCCTTGGGGGTTGTAAAGACAATCTAAGAACAAGTCATTTCGGAGTAACAAACTTCACAGCTGGGGATACTTTCCATTGCATAAGGCACCTACCCCTAAAGCTTTCATTGTTTCACTCTTAGGCAGTTATGTCATTATTTCACTTACCTCATTGGGGAAATCATTGTTTAACAACCAAATATAAATGGGGAAATAGTCTTCTACTTTATCTTCTCTAGGATAACAGCTTCCCTCCCCCACTTCCCTCCACAGAAGGATTAGTCCCAAATGGGTGATGAATTGCTCTAAACAGTCCAACAATCCCAGAGAGAGAAATGAGAAGAAAAATAACTAGCTGATTACCAATAGGGAACAAATTGGCCACTTGAGAATTCAGTGGCTAGAATGACAAATGAGAAAATGAAAATCCTCATCAAGGGACTAGACTTGCTGATTAGTCCAAGTGCAGATGACCACTTCCCATGCCTCTCCTGCCCTGCTGTGCGATGATTTACATCTGATTGAACATTATTTTTTATTTGGGACCGGATTTCTAAAAGGGTGTTTGGAAAACTTTGAAGTACTTAATTATAACCAGGAGGCATTTGGGGGCTGAGCACTGAAATGGAAGATGCTCTGTGTTGGGCTTATGGAATGTTCATTTAGGGAAGAACCCATGTCTGCCTGGTTTGGTCTGGTTTTTCATTCCATCACCCCTTAAGGCAGCTTTCCAAGGTTTTCTGGACTCTGGAAGAAAATAAAAATGAGAAGCGTATTCTTGGCCGAGGGATCCACATTGAAGGCAGACTCCAGGATTTCAACATGTGGATAGACTGGGCTTTCTGTTAATCATCAATTACTAAAAATAGAAATAATCTGGGACTCCTTTGAAGGGAGACCATTTTTTATGAGACTTCATTTGAACCAATCTGTCAAGGGAAGTTGGGTATATAATGAACAATAGACATTCTTAGTGGTGCTAAGTCATATATGCATGAAGAAATAAAACAGGACTGTCAACCATTATCCTCCAAGTGGACATAGTCACATGAGCTACAGGAATTATGAGGAAAAGGGGAGGTGGAGATTTTGAGTCAGGTGATCAGGATAGGATTCAGAGAGAAAGGGTAATAGGACTCAGGCCTTGAAGGAGGGATAGAGCTATAGTGATTTCTGGGTGGGAATCACTTGAATGAAGAATAGTACTGATTTTTTTTTAAATGATTTGGTACAGAGTAGAATGTGTGTCTTAAGCAAAGCGTTTTTCAGTACAGGAATCTGGAAAGATGAGACAGAACATAAAATTTTACATGTATGAATGGGTCTTTAACACCAGGCAGAGAATTGGGTTTGATTCTAAAAGGACCAGAGGTACATTAAGGATTCTAAGGCAAGTTAGACTTGTTTTAGAGGTCTATTTTCCTCATCTGACAAAAAGAATCAGCAAAACAGCATTCTCTGTAACTTTTCCAACAAGTAAAATCAACATGTAAGACTGCCATTTTGATTCTTCTTTGGTTTGTGGGACCAGTGCTGTGGAAGATAAGAATGAATTAGCACAGTGCCTGGCTCTAGGACTCAACACATATTGTTAAATGCATGAATGAAGCTGAACTATATAGAACCAGAGTACTGTTTCCTAGAACAGATAAAGAAGACCTTATTACCTCAGACCTCTCAAGAGGTATCAATAGAGAATTTGATGGGGGCCCTGGTTGGAAGTTATGTGAACCTGGGCATGTAACTTCACCTTTTTGAGTCTGTATTTCATCATCTGAAAAAGCAAAGGTGAGTTTCATGAATGAGCTTTAATTACAGGAAGATTTTATGTGTATTTTTGGGGAAAGAGATGCCATACATGGCTTGTGTTGGATTCACAGGAGTCCATGATCCAAGATATGGTTAAGAACCACTGGATATTTCTTTTAAACTATAAGAGTCTGTGACTCTGAGACTCCAGGGATGATTTTCCTCCCTGGAAGGACAATTGGAATATCAGACCTCACAGCCCTGCCAATTTTGTTACCTTGTAGGAGGCCTGTGGCTGATTGATTTGACTGAAATGAGGAGGAGAGGATGTTCTTAACTGTCAACCCAGCCTCAGATTCCTCAGCAATTTAAGAACTATTATTGATCTGATCAGCCATTCTGGAACATAATTGACCATTGAAAGAGGCAAATCATTGAAAGGCAGCTGTTCCCAACAGAACATGACACTGGCAACATGGTAGCCTCTGACACAGCCCTTTCTGTAGAATGTTTCCTCTCTCTTCTTCCTTTTTTCAAGTGGGCATGTTCATAGTGGACTCTGTCATAAGGTTATCAGAAAGAATAACTAGTTAAAGATGGGGAAAGCATTTGGTAAGATGAGATACACTTCTGCTCTTAAGGCTATTCTTCAAAACAATATGCAATGATATTTTTGTTGAATGGATACACTCAGCAGTCACTCTGATTTGGAGACTTGTCAATGATGTAATGCTTGCCAGTTAACATGAGCAGTTATAATGAAAATGTTATAGCCCTAGAAGCTATTGTCAGTATAAAACTCTAGCACAGAAAGCTAGTCCCAGTAATTTATAGTGAGGCAGCACTCTTAATGATTTTTGGCTTCATGCATTAATGAACAGAGATGTAAAGGATAAAGGACTTATAATGTAATAAGGAAAACTCAAGAAAAGATTCAGCTCTAATCAAAATAAATTGTGTTTTTAGATTGATTTTCATAAATTCAACCATTACCCTTTATTTATACCAAAAAGAAATGCATCATGCTAAGCTGATTCCTATCATTCAGAAAAAAAAGGACATTATATTTTTAATATATTTTAATATAATATCCATAAATTGCAAATGTCAACTTACAAGAAAGAAAAACCCATATACAGGCAAGAATAGAGCATCTATTCTTGCTAGGAAGAGAAAAAAGAATTCCTATAAATGTCAGTAAATTCCTTTTCCCTTTTTAAATAGTACTCGTTGTTTAATTGAAGCGTTGATTAGCACCATTAAAAATCCCGCCTAAAGGCCAGGCGTGGTGGCTCATGCTTGTAATCCCAGCACTTTGGAAGGCCAAGGCTGGTGGATCACGAGGTCAGGAGTTCAAGACCAGCCTGGCCAAGATGGTGAAACCCCGTCTCTACTAAAAATACAAAAATTAGTCGGGCATGGTGGCAGGTGCCTGTGATCCCAGCTACGTGGGAGGCTGAGGCAAAGAATTGCTGGAACCCGGGAGGCAGAGGTTGCAGTGAGCCGAGATTGCATGACTACACTCCAGCCTGGGCGAGAGTGAGACTCTGCCTCAAAAAAGGAAAAACAAAAAACAAAAAACAAAACACCCTAAAATAGCAATTTTATGAATAATAGCAATGAAATGTATTATGATTACCTTTGCTTTCTTTCTCCCCCCTCCCAGTTTCTTCTAAATAAATGATGCTTCTTACTCCCCATCAGCCATCTAAAACCAAGAGGACACAATTTCTTCCAAGAAAGTGCATTAAGAGCTCCAATTTACTTCACTTATAAAGTCCTATAGACAGCACTGTCAAATAATGAGTCAAGATCACTATTTAGCACCTAACTATTCTAGTCTTGTTCATATCTTAATGTTCTGTTTTTTCAGCATGAAAGCAGAAACTTCTACTCTATCTGCAATTTTCTTCCTTCCACTGGCAGTGATAATATTTAAAAAGTACTTGGCATCACCCAAATCTGTCTTCCAGTGAAAATCAGAATCCTTCTGATTGTGATTGCTCCCAATTTCCTAGAATTGGAACAGACTAAAATATATGGGTTAACTCTGGAGCCCAGGCTAATGGCACAACATATGGTAGGTTGCAAGTAACACAATGTTTAGCTCAGTCTTCCATGGTATCTGGCAATAGGATGTTACCAATAAAAATTCCTTAAGCTGAAAATTGGCCCAAGTTGCAGTTATTCTGCATGTGCAAGTTGCATCAGACTCTATGGTATAGTCTATGGGGGGGTCCTGTGATTTCCCAAACTGTCTAATCTCTTCCCATATCATTGCTCATGTTCTCAGGAGAGCTGGCTTAATTTGTGTTTAAGATGATATTGATTTGTTATTCTAAAAGCAATTATTGTTTTGGTTTTTGTTGTTGTTAAGAAACCAATCTGATTCTGCTGCAGTAGAATCTGCAATTGCACTGGGGTAGAATTCTTATCACAGTGAGACACCCTGACTGTATAGATGGTAGACCCAAACAAAAACACACAAGGGCATTTACCCGATGTCTTTAGCCATTTAGGTTATAACACACTTACGTGCCAAAAATCACTTTAATTTTCTGGCATTTTCATGGCAAGATTTGTTGTGCATTCATTCTACAGTAGATATTAGTAAATCCTGCATTATGGTTAGCTGTCAGAAAGAGTGGGAATTTTGTGGCGGCTCTTCTTTGGCATCTGACACACAGCACAGTATTTTCACTGGAATCTTCCAAATTATTTTTCTATTTATTGAAATAAGTTCTCACTGCCGAGGCATTACCTCTTGAAAGTTTCATGCTACCCTTAAACGGCTGGACAGAGTGACTGGTTTTCAAATCTTTTTGGCTCCTGGAATGTAGGCTGAACTCTAAGGGATCCTGTGCTCTTCATTCATTCTTCATAATCATACCTCCCTCACCGTGTGGGTCTTTTCCATGTCACAGATAAGGAAACTAAGATTCAGGAAAGTTAACCAGTTATCCACAATGACATACCTAATGTGTGGTCAACCCAAGCTAATTCAATTGATTTGAACCTTTCTATCAGAGTCCCAGGCAGGCTGCACCTCTACATGTCTGACCTTTGGGGGGCTCCCAAAACAGTGATGCAGATTTGCTGAGCTAATATGAGAGAAGAAGGAAACGTTAAACAGTACATCTGTATCATTGCCATGTATGAGCGTGTGTGATGTAGGAGAAGAGATCGTAGTTTCTAGTTCCAGCTGTTACTATATTTCTCTGCTTTTGGGAAGTCACTGTTCATGTCTTTCATTGACTCTTTAGGCAAGAGTGGGTAGGCAATGTATGGTGGCTCACGCCTGTAATCCCAGCACTTTGGGAGGCTAAGGCGGTTGGATCAGGAGGTCAGGAGATTGAGACCATCCTAGCTAACAAGGTGAAACCCTGTCTTTACTAAAAATACAAAAAATTAGCCAGGCGTGGTGGTGGGGGCCTGTAGTCCCAGCTACTCAGGGAGGCTGAGTCAGGAGAATGGCGTGAACCTGGGAGGTGGAGCTTGCAGTGAGCCAAGATCATGCCACTGCACTTGAGCCTGGCGACAGAGCAAGACTCCATCTCCAAAAAAAAAAAAACAAATGGGTAAATGTGTGAGCAGAGTGGTTCAACTGCTATGTTCTTAGGGCTGACACTGAAGGATCCTAACTTGTGTGCTTACATCATAGCCTGGGAAAATGTAGTTTGGGGGTCTCCTTTTCAAGATCCTACTTCTCCATCCTACCTTTAAATTTGAGAATCCAGAGTTTCACCCCAAACCTGCTCTTCTCTAGCACTACCTTCTCTGTGGGTGATCTCACCCTTTCTTTGTTCTTGTTTTAACATCTCTTGTATGATATTAATATAGCCACTCCATCTTGCTTATGGTTGCTGTTTGCATGATATCTTTTTCCATCCTTTTGCTTGCATCCTATTTGTATCTTTGAATCTCAAGTGTGTTTTCTGTAGACAGCATATAGTTGGACCTTGTTATGGTTTTTAATTCAATCCAATTATCTCTAACTTTCAAATGGATTTTGTAATTATTTATGTTTCATGGCGTTATTGATAAGGCTAGATTTACCTCTGCCACTTTGCTTTTGGCTTTCTATGCCTCAATTCTTTTTTGTTTCTCTGTTCCTCCTTTAATGTTTTCCTTTATGATTAATCGATATTTTCTAGTATAACATTTTAATTATTTAATATTTTTTCATAAGGAATTATTTTCTTAGTGTTTCCTCTTGGGCCTATAATATACATCTTAACTTATCAAAATCTACTTCATATTTATACTAACTTAATTCCAGTGAAACATAGAGACTTTACTGCTATTATACAACTCTATTTTCTCCCCAGTTTATAATATTATTGTTCAATATATTCAATTTATATGCTATAAACCCAATGGTGCATTAAAATAATTATTGCTTTATATAATCTTATGTATTTTACAGAACCTGGAAGAAGGAGGAGATCAAGTACATATTTATAGTTTATTATGTAGATCTTAACTATTTGTAATTCACTTCATTTCTTCCTATGGACTTGAGACATCATCTGGTATCATTTCCCAAAGCTGCTTTGCTCACACCCATCTCCTTTGTGGTGTTGTTTTCAGATGTACTACATTTCCATACACTATAAGTCCAACAATACAGTTATATGCACATTCTTTTTTTTTTTTTTTTTTTTGACAGGGTCTCTGTCACCCAGGCTGGAGTGCAGTGGCATGATCTCAGCTCACTGCAACCTCCACCTCCCGGGTTCAAGTGATTCTCCTTCCTCAGCCTCCCGAGTAGCTGGGATTACAGTCGTCAGTCACCATACCCGGCTAATTTTTTTGTACTTTTAGTAGAGATGGGGTTTCACCGTGTTGGCCGGGCTGCTCTTCAACTCCTGACCTCAAGTGATCTGCCTGCCTAGGTCTCCCAAAGCGCTAGGACTACATGTGCGAGACACCATGCCCAGCCTATGTTGACTTTTTAATCTTTTTTTTTTTTTTTTTTTTAGTGAGGTGAAGTTCATATAACATAAAATTAAACATATCGAAGTACAGAATTCTATATCATTTAGTGCATTCACATAATATTGCATCCGCCATCTTCTTTAGTTTGAAAACTTTTTCGGGTCAACATGTGGAAACCCGGTGTCTACAAAAATCACAAAATAGAAATATTAGCCGGACATGGTGGTGAGCGTCTGTAATCCCAGCTACTCAGGAGGCTGAGGCAGGAAAATCTCTTGAACCCGGGAGATGGAGGTTGCAGTGAGCCGAGATAGTGCCACTGCACTCCAGCCTGGGCGACAAAGCGAGACTGTGTCTCAAAAACAAACCAACCAACAAAAACAACAAAACTATTTTGGCGGGTGCAGTGGCATACCCCTGTAATTCTAGCACTTTGGGTAGCCGAGGTGGGAGGATTGCCTGAGCTCAGTAGTTTGAGAGTAGCCTGAGAAACAGTGAGACCCCATCCGTGCAAATAAATTATAATACATTTAAAAATTTTTTTTCATCATCATGGTTTGTACTCAATCACTTCCCATACTCATCTTCTCCCATCCCCTAGTGATCACTAATCTGCTGTCTCTATAGGTTTATCTATTCTGGATATTTCATGTCAAAGGAATATACAATATGCGACCCTTGTCTGGTTTATTTCATTAGCATAATGTTGGCATGGTTCATTTGTGTTTTAGCACCTGTCAGTACTTCTTTCCTGTTTATGGTTTAATGTATACTCATTGTATGTATATACCATAATTTGTTTATCCATTTACCTATAGGAGATTTGCATTGTTTACATTTCTATAATACCTTTTGGGCATAATGAATACTGCTGTTTTAAACGTTTGCGTACAAGTTTCTGTGCAGATCAATATTTTCACTTTTCTTGGATGTATACCTAGCAATGGATTTGTGGGTCATATGGTAGTTCTATGTTTGGCTTTTTAAGAAACCACCAAACTCTTTTCCCTAGCATCTGGACCATTTTACATTTTGACCAGCAATATACGAGGGTTCCTATTTCTCCATATCCTGCCAACATTATTATTATTTTTTTTTTCCATAGCCAACCTAGGGGATGTAAAGTGGTATCTCACTGTGGTTTTTATTTACATTTGTTTAATGACCAATGAGGTTTAATATCTTCTTATGTGTGTTTGGTTATTGGTATATCTTCTTTAGATAAATATTTATTCAAGCCTTTGCCCATTATTTTTTCTTTTGACATTGAGTCTCACCCTGTCACCCAGGCTGGAGTTTCTGGCATGACCATGGCTTACAGCAGCCTCAACCTTTTGGGCTTAAGCAAGCCTCCCACCTCAGCCTCTGGAGATGCTGGGACTACAAGCACAAACTACCACCATGCTTGGCTAATTTTTCTATTCTTATTTTGTAGAGATGGGGTCTCATTATGTTGCCCAGACTGGTCTCTAACTCTCAGGCTCAAGTGATTCTCCTGCCTCAGCCTCCCAAATTGCTAAGACTACAGCGTGAGTCACTGCACCCAGCCCTTTGCTCATTTTTGAATTGGATTGTTTGTCTTTTTGAGTTGTAAGAGTTCTTTATGTATTCTAATTACTAAATAGACCCTTATCAGGTGTATGATTTGCAAATATTTTCTTCCACTTCGTAGATTGTCTTTTCACTCTCTTGGTAATGTTCTTTGATGCCCCAAAGTGTCTAATTTTTCTGAAGTCAAATTTTTCTATATTTTCTTTTGTCCCTCATGCTTTTGATGTCAAATCTAAGAATCTCCTGCTGCCAAATGAGTTCATGAAGATGTGTCCCTAAGCTTTACAATTCTAGTAGCTTTATATTCTTAGTTCTTATAGTTAGTTTGTTGACCCATTGTTAGTTTTCATATATAGTGAGATGGGGCCCAATTTCATTCTTTTACATGTACTTATTCAGTTGTCCTAGCACCATCTGTTGAAGAGACTATTCTTACCCCATTGGATGGTCTTGGTAACTTTGTTGAAAATCAATTGACCATAGACGTTTGGGTTTATTTCTGAACACTTATTTTTTTTCCATTGGCCCATATGTCTGTTGTCCTGCTGATACCATAGTGTTTTGATTACTGTTGCTCTGTAGTAAGTTTTGAAATCAGAAAATGTGAGTTCTTCAACTTTTAAAATACTGTTTTGTCTACTTGGGGCTCGTCACGTTTCCATATGAAATTGAGGATTGGCATTTCCATTCCTGCAAGAAGACCATTGGAATTCTGAGAGGGATGCACTGAATCTGTAGGTCACTTTGGAGAATACTGGTATCTTAACAACATTGAATCTTCCAAACTATTAACATGGAACATCTTTCCATTTAATCAGGTCTTCTTTAATTTTTTTTTCAGCAATGTTTTGTAGTTTTATGTATATAAGTCTTTCACCTCCTTGGATAAATGTATTCTTAAGTATTTTATACTTTTGCATACTATCATCAAAAGGATTTTTTTTCCTTTTTAAATTCTTCATTTCCAGCATATAGAAACACAACTGATTGTTCTGTGTTAAGTATGTACCCCACGACTTGTTCAGATTTTGTTCTCCTGATATCTGTTAGTTCTTTATCCCTGGATTCTTTCAGCTCTTTGAAAATATTAATGCAGCTAATTTACAGTCTTTTTCTGGTATGTTCAATGTTTGGGTTTCTTCATGGATGTTTCCTCTCATTTTTTATTCCCTGTGAGCCACACATTTCTGATTCCTTGTATGCTTTGTTCTTTTTGGTTGAAAACTGGACATTTTGAACATTGTAATGGGGTAACTCTTGAAGTCAAATTATCTTCCTTTTCCAGAAATTGCTGATGCTGTTCATTGAGAAGTGCAGTCATCCGTTTGTTTAGTGACTTTCCTAAACTGTGTTGCAAAGACTATATCCCTTGTCAGGTGTGGCACCGATGTCTCTATTCTGTTATCTCAGCAGTCAGCCAATGGCCTGGCAGAGACTCTGTTGGATATTTTAACCCAATAAAGAAAGAGTAAATAAGGTGTTTTGCTCTTTTAAATTCCCCCTGACCGATGCTGCCTGGAAGGCCATTTCAGTCCAAGTGGGTTGAAACAATGGCTAAATCCTGCCCTAGTGCCTCAGTGATCCACGAGGCAAATCAAAACACATGACCCTTAAAAAAAAATGCAACCCTGATCTTTGAAGCACACGGTTCTTATCTCCAACTTGGAAATAGCAAGCCACACCAGGAACATGAACTGTCATCCACACAGATACCAGTTGCCCCAGGGAACAAGAGATGGTAGCTGCTCCATGAAATGCTAAACTTCACCAAAATATATTACTTCAAGCACTCCCCTGCACAGTGCAAGTGTTTGACCAGGCTCTAGATTTTAAAAATAGTTAATTCTGACAATTAACTCTTTCTCAATAGTTTTTTTTTTTTTTTTCCAGCGGAGGGACTGATTTTTGGAGCTTCCTACTTTGTCACCTACACAGTGACATCCCTCTACAATGTCTTTTACACCTTTACTGCTATTCCTTGGTTTTTTGTGTGGATTCAAATTATTGTCCGATGTCACTTGGTTTTCAGACTACAAAAATTCTTGTAGCATTTCTCTTGAGGCAGGTCTTCTAGCAACAAATTCCCTCAGATTTTATTTATCTAGCAAAGTATGTATTTTGCCTTTCATTTTAAAAGATAATTTGGCCAATTCTTGGTAGACAGTTTTTTTCCCTTCAGCATTTTAAACATATCATTTTACTGCCTTCTGGCCTCTATTGTTTGTGATCAAAAGTCAGCCATCTATCCCATTGGAGTTTGTTTGTGATGAGTGATTCACCTTTCACTACTTTCAAGACATTCTCTTTCTCTTTGACTTTCACATATTTTACTATTATGTGTCTGAGTGTGGTCTATTTGTATTTATTCAACTTGGAATTTGTTGAGTTTCTTGGATAAGCAATTTTTTTTCATCAAATGTGGGAAGTTTTCAGTTATTATTTTTTTGAGTTTTTCTACCTTCTCTCTGTGCTTTTCTTCTGGTACTTCTATTACTTGTATGTTGATGTATTTAATTGTGTCCCACATTTCTCTGATGCCATGTTCATTTTCTTTATTATTTTTTTCCGTTTTTTTTTTATGTTGGGTAATCTTTATTATATTCAATTTGCAGATTCTTTCTTCTGCCAGCTAAAATCTACTTCTGAGCCCATCTAGTGTTTTTTAAATTTTGTTATACTTAACTCCAGAATTTTTATTTTGCTCTTTAAAAAATATATATAAGTTCTGTCTCTTTATTGATATTCTTTATTGGGTAAGACATTGTCCTCATTCCTTCCTTTAATCCTTTAAACATGTTCTCCTATAGTTCTTTGAACATATTTATAGTGGCTGCTTTGAAGTTTTAAATATCTAAGTTTATTTAAACAATTACTTTTGACTGCTTTTTTTCTTTTAACATGAGTCACATTTTTCTCCTTCATTAAATGTCTTATACATTTTTTGTTGACAATTGGACATATTAGATAATATATTGTAGCAACTCTGGATATTGATTCTAGTTCCTGTCCATCCCCTACCCCTCTGCACCTAAGGGGTTGATATTGCTGCTGTTTTCCATGTCATTGATTTATTTGTTTAATGATTTAGTTAACTAACCCTATGAAGTATTTTTCCCTCTAGTGTGCAGCCTTTGATGTCCTTCCTCATGTTATTTACTTTTTTTAAAACTTTTTGCTGAGTGATTTAGGATCATTCATGAATTGGCATGTAAGCCACTTATTGATCAAAAGTTACCCCCTTGGCAATTAAATTTTTTCCCTTTACCACTAGACGTATAAGTAACTTGGAGGCTGCTCTGACAGGTGAAGAAGTTTACACTTTTGCTCCCTGTCTACCCAGGAACTAGTCGCTTTTTATCCCCCCCGCCGCCCACCCCCCCAATTCACTCCTAGGATGGTGCAGCTTTGAGCATACACACAATCTTCCAGATTGTTAGGGATACATGTGGTTTTATTTTTAAGCATAGCTCTTAGGAGTTGCTTCAGGTTTAGAGTAGGTTACTGTTCAGCCAGTGTTTAGTTGGAGGTTATCTTTAATCCATAGTGCCAGTGCCAGCTTGCATTTTTTTTGTGATGGATCTGTGTGCAGCATGGGAAAGTTTTCAGATTTGCTTCATTTCCTGTTCTGATGCTCCCAAGTAGGTACAACCAATCACTCATGTACAGCCTTTCCAACCCCCAAGGCTGACTGTGCTCCCAGGAGGACTCTTCTTGGTTGTTTCTTCCCATGATCCAGTCTAGTAAACCTCTAATTGCTCTGTTGTTGTGCTTGTATTATGGAGCTATGAGCACCCTCTTAATTTCTCTCTACCAAGATTTCCCTTGTTTTTGACAACACTCTAGAAATGAAATTCTCCATGCTGTGCTCCAAATGAAGTCAGTCTCCTCAGGCAGAGCTACAGCAACCTGCTTTTCCCCCTCGGCTAAAGCTCTATGCCACTGCCGAAGAGCTCAGGGTGGGAAGAGAAGCCTACTGCTAGAGTGACGAAACTACTCTATGAGCAGACATTAGGAAATGATAGTGGCCCGTGGTTTTTCTAGATTGACCCTTCTAATATGGGACTCTTGTCCTACCAGCAAGCTGATCAAGAATGATTGGAGTGCAAAATTCTTGGCCTGCCACGTCTGAACTATAACTGCTGTCCTTAAAGTGGGGGCTAGGTGGAAGGAGCACTAGTCCTCTCTGAATAGAGCTTCTGCAACATGGGGCTTGTAGGGGAGGATAGAAAACGTTAGCAGTCCACTCCTTCCCAGATGATTCCATAAGATGGACCTGGCAGAGAAGTGTCATGTCTCAAATGTCACAGACTATCACTGTTCTTATTGAGATTTAGTAAATATACTTGAGTGTATATTTCTCCAATTATTGTAGGACAATTTCCAGAAGCTTTAAATGATTTTTTAAACCGTAATTTTCTTTAAGTAAATGGTTGCTTTATGGGGGAGAAAGTCTGCTGGTCTCCCCCTTCCATCATGCCAGAAGTTGGTTTTCTGTCCTATCTTTTAAATGTCATCTATGAGCTCATGATGCGCATGTGCCTGCCTCTAACCTAGCCTTTCACCTGGACACCAGACTTCCATATCCAGCAGACAACTTGTCATCAAGTAGTTTTGGTTTTTTTTCCTCATAAATGTTCTCTTCAGGCCTTCTTTATCTCAGTAAATGAAACCGCCATCTACCCAGTTCATCAACTCAGAGCCTGAGCATCAGCCTTAATACCTCCCTCTTGTCAACCACATGTAATCCATTAGAAAGTTTCATTGGGTCTGTCTCTCAAATATGCCTAGAAACTGCTCATTTCTCTCCAGTTCCATGACTACTGACTCTGAATCATTCCCCTTCACTTGATCTATTAAAATAGCCTTTTAATGGGCTGTCTGCTTTCACTCTCACTGCCCCTCCAATCTGTGCCTCACACTACCCTCCGAGTGATCACTGTATGTATATTTCCCCTAGACATATGCTTTAACCCTGGCTTCAGCCCTGTAGGAACTGGCTGCTCTTTACCTCTCCTTCCAATCTCATCTGAAGGCCCTCCCTTGACCTGTGTATTATAGTCACATGGTCCTCTTTGCTAGCGTGCTTTCCTTTGCGTGGAACAGTCTCCTCCTTCTCCCTTTGCATGCTGGCATTCCTCCTCTTCTCTTCTTGTTTTAGCTTAAATGTCACCCCCTCTAAGATGCTTTCTAGGTGGCTTCTCCTTTGTTGTTCTCTGTTGTTTCAGCCCATTCATTTCCTTTACAATTCTTGACATGGTTTGTAATTATTATTTGTTTAATGATTTATTCTCTGCTGTTCCTACTAGATGGTAAACTCCAGGACAGCAAGAACCTCATAGTTGTTTTGTTAAGAACCCTGAAATAAACACTTACAAATAGTAAGAGCTCCCACTTACCAAGCAGTAAGTATTTTCAAGAAATGTTCTAAAATATATATGAATATATATGTATATGCATACACATATTTACACAAAAATATGCATACACATATACACATGTGTATACATTTATATACATATACACTCATGTGCACATTCATGCAAAAGCACACACTCATTTAATCTTCACAACAATCCTATGAGGTAGATACTTTTATTATCTTCATTTTACAGCTGATTAAACTAGAGCACTGGGAGGATGGGTGACCCGGCCCAGCATCACTCAGTGAGCGAGCTGCTAACCCAGGTTGCTCCAGGGTCTATGCTTGTAAGCATTTCAGCTGCTTCTCAGTGCAGTGACAGGAACAAAGTGGGTACTCAGTTAATATTTGTAGAATAAATAAACAAAGGGTAAAACAAAATGGAGATGTTATCATCCCTAAGAACAGTGCTGTTCAGCAGAGCTTTCTGAGATGATGGAAATGTTCTACATCTGTGCTGTCCTATACAGCAGTCACTAGACACACATGGCTACTGAGCACTTGGGATGCAGCTAGTATGACTCAGAAAATGAATTTTTTGTTTTGTTTAGTTTTAATTATTTAAATTGCCATATTGTGGCTACTGACAACTATAGTAGATAGTGCAATCTAAGATTTTTGAGATGGTATCACTGTAAATGCCTTGAGGTTGACAGTCTTGATAAATCGAACTCCAAAGACTGATCACAGAATTCTCCTCTGCATTTTTTTCCCTAGTGTCCTCTCCCCCCTAGTTCTTCAAACATCCTTTATCCTCCCACTTTACTTCGTTCCAGCTGATTGAACCAAGCCTCCTTTCTCACATGTGGCACTAAAGCCATTTTCCCTACTCTTTCAACAGTGCCCTGAACAGTCCCTACAGAAGCAGTGAAGTAGTCAACAAACATCTCATGTCTACTTGGGATGGAGCACTGGCTCAGGTCCTGGGGAGGAGTGGAGGGGGACACAAAGACAAGTAAGACAAGGTACCTGTCTAACGGTGAAGTGGGGGAGTTAGACTTATACACTAACTCATAGTAAGGGCTCGGTCAAAAGGATGGTGTTGGGGGAGGGTGGGTGTCCAGGTCTGTAGACTCAGAATTCAAAACTGGGGTTCTGGAGTGCCCGCTTTGCAGAAATTGCTGTAAAATGTCACCAATTTTACTCACACTTGGACTAAAAGAATAAATGAAGTCATGGCTTACTTTAAAAACTGAGCTTATGACAGACACGAGACAGTCTTACTGACATCTAGAAAGAGACAACTGGCCTGGATAGAGGGAGCTTATATTTTTTACTCTAATGGCAATACTACTTTTTACAGAAAAAGAATCAAAGAAATAGTAAATAAAAATCAGACTGACTCGAATATTTAAAAAGAAGAAAAAAAGTAGTGCACGTTAATCCTCCAATTCAGGGGCAATTACTATTCATATTCTCAACCATATGTAATAACTGGGGTAGTGAAAATGCATTTCTTTCCTCCCACCATTTGCATACTTGGAATCTCACTTACATTGCATGTAGGTTAGAGAAAAAAGATGCTGCTTTGTTTGGATTTTGCTTTTGCTGTGGAATCCATTAGACAGCAATGTGCTTTGTATGTCAAAGAGTAGAAAGGCTCCATTTCCTCTTTTCAAAATGTTTTTAGCAGAAGTCAACCACTGTATTTATTCCATGAAGTTCTCCATTTGATTACTCAGTGTGTGCTAGCCACAGAAAAGCAGTGATTTTTTTTTTTTTTTTAACCACAAAGGACTTTCAATCTTAGGATGAGTCTTATAGCATCATACTTTGAAAGTGAAATTTTTAGGCAGTTATCTAAATGTCACTCTATAAGAAGCATTTAAACGCATAGCAACACCCAGCTGATGTCTAGGAACTTCATTTTTCATACAGATATATTATCAGTGCACTGGTGGAGTGACTGCGTCTTTGATTTCCCCAAACTTCCTCAAGTTTACTCTTTTCAAAAAAAGTAGCTCCTTATGTGCAAAATCAAATGAGATTTCATTTTGATGCCTCTCTAAGACTTTTCTTATAAATTACACCACAGATTAGAAGGAAAAAGAAAACCCAAACAGCAAAGAACTAGATCAACTCTTCCAGTCTACTCTAGACTGAAGAAAATAGCTCCTAAGACATAAACTCCCTGCTTGTGTGTTAACACCACACTTTCCCAAAGTGTGTTCCTAAGAACACTAGCACCATGGGTTGTAACACAAAGAAAGCATTCCGTGGTGAATTCCATGAGGAATTGGAATCTTTTTTAAGAGGCAATGGAATCTTTTAAGACTCCATTTTTTAAGAGAGGAAATGGAATCTTTTTTAAGAGACAGGGTCTTGGTCTGTCACCCGGGCTGGAGTGCAGTGGCATAATCATAGCTCACTGCAGGCTCAGACTCCTGGGTTCAAGTGATCCTCCCACCTAAGCCCCCTGAGTAGCTAAGAACTACAGGTGTATGCCACCACACCTGGCTAATTTTTAAATTTTTTTGTAGACCTGTGATCTCACTATGTTGCCTCGGCTGCTCTGAAACTCCTGGCCTCAAGTGATCCCCCCTGCCTTGGCCTCCACAGTGCTGGAACTATAGGTATGAGCCATTGCACCCAGCCAGGAAATACAATTTTCGAAAGACTAAACAAGTTTCTAAAATCATGGCACAATTAAGTAGCAAAATTAGAATACAGAGTGGGCTTGTTGGAAAGCGTCAACTATTAATCACCATGCCATACTTTTGAGGAGCAGACCCCACACTTGTAACCAGGCCCTTCAATTTATCATTCCTGCAAGTCAAGACTTCACCTGTGAACCAGCTGCCCTCTGCCAGCCCAACTTCGTGGATGTGCAATCTCTACAGTTGCACAGGGTCCCGTGTTTAGTTTAGTACTTTGCTTTTGCTATCTTTAAATACTTAATAATTTTTAAACAAGAGATTCCATATTTTTATTTTGCACTGAGCTTCACAAATTACAAAGTCAGCGCTATCCACAGTACCCAAGCTATAATTAATACAAAGCTTTAAAAGCTGCATGGAGTTTAGCTGAAATTGCTGCCCAGTCCGAAGCTAATTTTGGAAGATGCTGTTCGGTCTTAGGTTATGAAAAACGGTTCTGCCCTTTTACAACTCCAGCAGGAAGAGCTAAGCTCCCAATATTCCGTCCATTAATGTCCCTGGTGAGAGTCTTCAAAACTCACGAGCAACAATGCAAGAATTTCCCAGCCTTCAACGTGTGACCCACTTCTACATTATTGACTCCAATAAACTGACCAATTAAATGTTTTTGTGGTCACAGAACTTGTAATTATGTGGTTAAAGATGTTTCAGATATATCACATTCTTTCACACTGTGGCAGAAACTATTGGTTAAATAACTCAGCCATGTCTATCTTCCTTGTCCAATCTGCACAAAAGAGACTGGAAAAAAGCTGGACACTTGCTTCTTTCCCATCCTCCTTTGCAGGTAAGCATCGCTGTGTGACTTAGTTCTGGCCAATGAGATGGGAAGGCAGTCTTCTGGGATGCAAAAAGCTTTTTTCTTTGTTAATAAAAAGGAGAATGCCTCTATAGGAAAAGATCTTTTTCAATACCACTCTGTTGCCCATTTCCTACCTTGATGTTGTTTGGAGCTACGGCACCCATCTTGAGATAATAAGGTAAAACACATCACTAGGAAAAACCAACAGCTGAATTTAGAGTAGACAGGATGGAAGGGACCTGGTGATATTGTGGAGCAATGAACGAATGCTGTCGACTGCCTAGTTAACCTATTACTTGTTTAAATCTCTGATAGGCTATATTTTTAAAATTTTGCAACCAGGGTTATTCTTAGTCTAAGCATGCAACTTTGAAAAATGTGATCCCTTTGACAAGATAACAAGCCTTCCATTACCTGCTGCAGGTGACCCAGTTTGCTGGCTGTTGTGGGTAGCTCAGAACAGGACCCTAAGGCACCTTGGCCCTCCCTCTGCTTTAAAACTCAACACCAAACTGTATTCATTCTTGTGGTACTGCCTGTGTCTTAACATGCATCCCAACATCTGGCACAGAGCCTGGCACTGGCAACCTCTTAGGAAATTTGTTAAATGAACTGATAGTGTAGCATTCTGTCACTTTCCTCAGCGATAAAATTCTCATTCTTCAAAAAATTTTCCTTTTGCAACTGAATTTAAAAATGAAATACCTACCACCTACCACTTCAAGCTTTGCTAGGTGACGGCTTACTAAAAAAAAAAAAAAAAAAAAAGGAAAAATACTCTTGTATGATGACTGAGGAATACTGAGTGGAAAACTGATTGGTTTCTACAAGGCATCATTGGTCCTTGCCAGTGGCCAGTAGGATGTGGTTGGTGTGGTGTGGTGTGGAGTGAAAGAGAAGTCAAAAGCAAAGGCTATGGTGCCAAAATACTTGGGTTCAACTCCCCGCTCTGTCACTTACTTACTGGGCGCCTTTAGCAAGTTTTCTCTCCTCTCTGAGCCTTGGTTTCCTTATTCTAAAACGGGGAGCGTATCTAAGAAAGATTGTAGGAGGATTAAATGCATGAGAGAATGAAAACCTGTAAAGTGCTTACCACAAGCATGATACTTGGTAAGTATTCAATAGACTTTAGTTATTGCTTTTTATCTCAAGTGCTACCTGGGACTTACCTCTCAAAAATTTTCAGACCATTGAACACATCTAATATCTATCTTAAAGAAGGCATACAATAAATATTTAATAAAAATTAAATTAAAAAAACTGGTAGGTAACCATGGATCATCTCTAGAGATGATCATCGTATCAGACCTACATAGTATGTTAGAGCTTGGGGTCTGGAGTCCGACGGCCCGAATCTTCCTCACAGTCCAGCTTTCAGTGAACCTCACAGTGCCTCAGTATCCTTAATTGAAAAACAGGAATAATAATAGTACCTTCCCTATAAGGGCTTTAGAGAAGTGAGTGGGTTCTGCCTAGTATCTGACACAACAAGTAGTCCATAAAGGTTAGCTCTTTTTAATCCATCCCACAGGAAGCTCTGATGTGCTATGCTGGGTAGAAAAGTATATCTTACAAAAATATCCCTGTTTTGCTCTCTGAAACCCTGTTGAAACCTTTTGACATTCAGCTACATGTTAAGCCCTGGGCAACCTTGGAGTTCTTCCGCCATCTGTGTAACTGTGAATCTTAACGTGCTAAGTATACAACATACACACATCACCTCTCATTTAATAAAGCAAATTGTTCCACACAAGGGTAGCAGAGCTCTCGTTTGCAAGCTCAGATCTAATTAGCTCTCTCAATACAATTTGCAAGTTGCATCCAGGCAGATCACTGGGGAGCACTTGCTCTGGTGAGCTAAGAGGAACTGTAGGCCCATTCTGTAGTTTGCCGCAGATACTGCATATGGTAGCAAAATTGTGTCTATTTCTTCCCCTGTGAAATCCTAAAAGCAGCTCTTCCCAGCTGGCTGCAGCTACAGACATCTTCCTTCCTTCCACTGTTAGAAGAGGATTGTGGGGGTTTAGTAACAAACTTTTATGTATACTGGTAAGGCGAAAAGGAGCAGGTGCAAAAGAACATCTTACACAAGGGGTGAAAGAGTCAACAGGCAGAACCAACCCTCACTGAGGTTCCTGTGGCAAAGACAGAGAAATTAAAGGGAGGTCAAATGAATACCATTTGTGGGCAAGAGGCAGATCTCTTGCAGGTAGATGACAATGGTATGTGAAGGAACTGTATTCTAGGACAACTAAGCATAAAGAAATAGTGGGAAGCAGAATCCCAACTCAGAGGGAGAGGATGAAAGAACATTTATTACATTTCCCTACCCAGTGTTCATGCTGTCCCTGTTTTGGTAGAGAAACCTTGCTGCCCTTTGAGGAATCTTCTAGGTTATGTGTTTAAGGTGTTGCAGAAACTGTTCCCTGGACTGGTGGGGGTGGGAGGGACAAATGACCCAGGTCCAGCCAGAGGGAATTTTTTCAGCTTTTGCTGAAGTAATTTAGAAAGTCACTTTCATTCTCTGTGGAAGCTTAAGCTGGCAGGATATGCCCCCAGGGCTGCTGGGGACATCCCAAAAGGAATCTGCTTGAGAATGAAACCAATGCAGAGGAAGGAGTGAAGAGGTGAAGAGAGGCAGGTCGGTTGGATCATTGTTCGGGAATCTGTATCCAGCCAGCCATGCATCCCCTGGACTTTTCCGTCACAAGGCTGGTAAATTCCCTTTTTGCCAAACCCAGTTGGAGTTAGTTTCTGTCACTTCTGACTCATCAGTGAGGTAAAGGGGAAGACATACCTATTTATAGTATGTGGCACTTTTTCCTCAACCACCAAGTCTTTAATAGGATCTCTATCTTGGTCTACAGTGACCATATTTTCCCAACCACTTCCCTATAGAATTAGGATATCTGCCCAAACAGAATTTTACTAATAGAAGGGTAGAACAGAATGTTCGAAAATCAGAACTATTCTGAAAATCCGGGACATGTGAAGGAAACACACGTCCTGAGAGTCATAATCACACAGTCTCGTTACCTGAGTGAACTCCTGAGGCATGCATTTCAAACTCACATTTCTGCATTTGGTAATTGGGCTAAAAATATCTTGCTCATACTGTCTGGCTAAAGAATGAAACACATTGCTCAAGGAGCCCTTGCCCCACCTCTAAGCGAGCTAGTCAATGTTTGGACCCTGCAAAGAGTCCCAGGTGGAGAATTCAGCCCTCCTGCCATCTTGGCCACTTAGGAGTGACTCAGCTCAGTAACTTGGTTCCTCAGCATCTCAGTAGCTACTTGACCCTGTAGAGGTGACATGCTATGCCTTAGAAAGGTACTCGTAGGAAGCAGTGCCAAGCCACATTTGTCTTCAGAGATGATCTATCTTCAGTTCTTAAGAGTAGGCAATTGGCAAGGGGAGCATAATACTTTAGCTTCTGGTATAACTGATGGAATCATTATTATTATTACTATTATTATTATTATTATTATTATTATTATTATTATTTTGGAGATGGAGTCTCGCTCAGTTGCCCAGGCTGGAGTGTAGAGGCACAATCTCGGCTCACTGCAACCTCTGCCTCCTAGGTTCAAGTGATTCTACAGCCTCAGCCTACCAAGTAGCTGGGATTACAGGTGCCCACTACCACACCTGGCTAATTTTTGTATTTTCAGTAGAGACAGGGTTTCACCATTTGGCCAGGCTGGTCTTGAACTCCTAACCTCAGGTGATCGGCCTGCCTCAGCCCCTCAAAGTGCTGGGATTACAGGCGTAAGCCACCATACCTGGCCATTATCTTGCTTTTGTGATCAACAGGACGATTGCTGGATTAAGCACTTACTGTGTACGAGGCACCATGTTAAACATTTTACATTTACCAGTTAAATATTCATAAAACCCCATGACATAGGATCTACTAATGTCTCCAATTTACACATGAGAAAACCAAGACTCAGAGTAGCTGAGCAAAATTTACACATTAGCAAATATTGGAGCCAGAGTTATATTCTAGAGTCATCCCCTCTTCCTCCCATAGACCATGTTCTTAATGCTTACTATTATATATTCAGACTCTTAAAAGAACTTTGCTATTCTTACTTTGGACCATACGATTTTTAAAAATTTTCCCTGCTTTGGGGTTGCAACCCTAGTCTCTGATAAAACAGACTTTAAACCAACAAAGATCAAAAGAGACAAAAAAGGTCATTACATAATGGTAAAGGGATCAACTCAACAAGAAGAGCTAACTATCCTAAATATATATGCACCCAATACAGGAGCACCCAGATTCATAAAGCAAGTCCTGAGGGACCTACAAAGAGACTTAGACTCCCACACAATAATAATGGGAGACTTTAACACCCCACTGTCAACATTAGACAGATCAGCGAGACAGAAAGTTAACAAGGATACTCAGGAATTGAACTCAGCTCTGCACCAAGCGGACCTAATAGACATCTACAGAACTCTCCACCCCAAATCAACAGAATATACATTTTTTTCAGCACCACACCACACCTATTCCAAAACTGACAACACAGTTGGAAGTAAAGCACTCCTCAGCAAATGTAAAAGAACAGAAATTATAACAAACTGTCTCTCAGACCACAGTGCAATCAAACTAGAACTCAGGATTAAGAAACTCACTCAAAACCGCTCAACTACATGGAAACTGAACAACCTGCTCCTGAATAACTACGGGTACATAACGAAATGAAGGCAGAAATAAAGATGTTCTTTGAAACCAACAAGAACAAAGACACAACATACCAGAATCTCTGGGACGCATTCAAAGCAGTGTGTAGAGGGAAATTTATAGCACTAAAAGCCCACAAGAGAAAGCAGGAAAGATCCAAAATTGACACCCTGACATCACAATTAAAAGAACTAGAAAAGCAAGAGCAAACACATTCAAAAGCTAGCAGAAGGCAAGAAATCACTAAAATCAGAGCAGAGCTGAAGGAAATAGAGACACAAAAAACCCTTCAAAACATTAACGAATCCAGGAGCTGGTTTTTTGAAAGGATCAACAAAACTGATAGACTGCTAGCAAGACTAATAAAGAAGAAAAGAGAGAAGAATCAAATAGACACAAAAAAAATGATAAAGGGGATATCACCACAGATCCCACAGAAATACAAAGTACCATCAGAGAATACTACAAACACCTCTACGCAAATAAACTAGAAAATCTAGAAGAAATGGATAAATTCCTCGACACATACACTCTCCCAAGACTAAACCAGGAAGAAGTTGAGTCTCTGAATAGACCAATAACAGGCTCTGAAATTGTGGCAATAATCAATAGCTTACCAACCAAAAAGAGTCCAGGACCAGATGGATTCACAGCCGAATTCTACCAGAGGTACAAGGAGGAACTGGTACCATTCCTTCTGAAACTATTCCAATTAATAGAAAAAGAGGGAATCCTCCCTAACTCATTTTATGAGGCCAGCATCATCCTGATACCAAAGCCTGGCAGAGACACAACCAAAAAAGAGAATTTTAGACCAATATCCTTGATGAACATTGATGCAAAAATCCTCAATAAAATACTGGCAAACGGAATCCAGCAGCACATCAAAAAGCTTATCCACCATGATCAAGTGGGCTTCATCCCTGGGATGCAAGGCTGGTTCAATATATGCAAATCAATAAATGTAATCCAGCATATAAACAGAACCAAAGACAAAAACCACATGATTATCTCAATAGATGCAGAAAAGGCCTTTGACAAAATTCAACAGCCCTTCATGCTAAAAACTCTCAATAAATTAGGTATTGATGGGACGTATCTCAAAATAATAAGAGCTATATATGACAAACCCACAGCCAATATCATACTGAATGGGCAAAAACTGGAAGCATTCCCTTTGTAAACTGGTACAAGACAGGGATGCCCTCTCTCACCACTCCTATTCAACATAGTGTTGGAAGTTCTGGCCAGGGCAATTAGGCAGGAAAAGGAAATAAAGGGTATTCAATTAGGAAAAGAGGAAGTCAAATTGTCCCTGTTTGCAGATGACATGATTGTATATCTAGAAAACCCCATCGTCTCAGGCCAAAATCTCCTTAAGCTGATAAGCAACTTCAGCAAAGTCTCAGGATACAAAATCAATGTGCAAAAATCACAAGCATTTTTATACACCAATAACAGACAAACAGAGAGCCAAATCATGAGTGAACTCCCATTCACAATTGCTTCAAAGAGAATAAAATACCTAGGAATCCAACTTACAAGGGATGTGAAGGACCTCTTCAAGGAGAACTACAAACCACTGCTCAACGAAATAAAAGAGGATACAAACAAATGGAAGAATGTTCCATGTTCATGGGTAGGAAGAATCAATATCATGAAAATGGCCATACTGCCCAAGGTAATTTATAGATTCAATGCCATCCCCATCAAGCTACCAATGACTTTCTTCACAGAATTGGAAAAAACTACTTTAAAGTTCATATGGAACCAAAAAAGAGCCAGCAATGCCAAGTCAATCCTAAACCAAAAGAACACAGCTGGAGGCATCACACTACCTGACTTCAAACTATACTACAAGGCTACAGTAACCAAAACAGCATGGTATTGGTACCAAAACAGAGATATAGATCAATGGAACAGAACAGAGCCCTCAGAAATAACGCTGCATATCTACTACTATCTGATCTTTGACAAACCTGACAAAAACAAGAAATGGGGAAAGGATTCCCTATTTAATAAATGGTGCTGGGAAAACTGGCTAGCCATATGTAGAAAGCTGAAACTGGATCCCTTCCTCACATCTTACACAAAAATTAATTCAAGATGGATTAAAGACTTAAATGTTAGACTTAAAACCATCAAAACCCTAGAAGAAAACCTAGGCAACACCATTCAGGACATAGGCATGGGCAAGGACTTCATGTCTAAAACACCAAAAGCAATGGCAACAAAAGCCAAAACAGACAAATGGGATCTAAATAACTAAAGAGCTTCTGCACAGCAAAAGAAACTACCATCAGAGTGAACAGGCAACCTACAGAATGGGAGAAAATTTTTGCAACCTACTCATCTGACAAAGCGCTAATATCCAGAATCTACAATGAACTCTAACAAATTTACAAGAAAAAAACAAACAACCCCATCAAAAAGTGGGCAAAGGACATGAACAGACACTTCTCAAAAGAAGACATTTGTGCAGCCAAAAAACACATGAAAAAATGCTCACCATCACTGGCCATCAGAGAAATGCAAATCAAAACCACAATGAGATACCATCTCACACCAGTTAGAATGGCGATCATTAAAAAGTCAGGAAACAACAGGTGCTGGAGAGGATGTGGAGAAATAGGAACACTTTTACACTGTTGGTGGGACTGTAAACTAGTTCAAACATTGTGGAAGTCAGTGTGGCGATTCCTCAGGGATCTAGAACTGGAAATACCATTTGACCCAGCCATCCCATTACTGGGTATATACCCAAAGGATTATAAATCAGGCTGCTATAAAGACACATGCACACGTATGTTTACTGTGGCACTATTCACAATAGCAAAGACTTGGAACCAACCCAAATGTCCAACAATGATAGACTGGATTAAGAAAATGTGGCACATATACACCATGGAATACTATGCAGCCATAAAAAATGATGAGTTCATGTCCTTTGTAGGGACATGGATGAAATTGGAAATCATCATTCTCAGTAAACTATCGCAAGGACAAAAAACCAAACACCGCATGTTCTCACTCATAGGTGGGAATTGAACAATGAGATCACATGGACACAGGAAGGGGAACATCACACTATGGGGACTGTTGTGGGGTGGGGGGAGGGGGGAGGGATCGCATTAGGAGATATACCTAATGCTAAATGACAAGTTAATGGGTGCAGCACACCAGCACGGCACATGTATACATATGTAACTAACCTGCACATTGTGCACATGTACCCTAAAATTTAAAGTATAATAATAAAATTTAAAAAAATTAAAAAATAAAAAAAATTTTGATATTTAAAAAATAAAAAGATAAAAAATAAATAAATAAAAATTTTCCCTGCTTTTCCTGAGCTGTAGAATTTTTATTTTTATCACTTGAGAACTTTTAATAATAAATTTTGGAAGTAACTGATTAGGCCCAAGCATAGGAGGAGGACACAACAGTAATATTTACTTAGTGCCTTCCCTGTGCCTGGGACTGTGCTGGACTTTGGGAATACAGCAGAAAACAAGGTCTCTGGCCTCATAAGCAGCACAGATAGAGAAGCAATCACAAACGCAGGCCAATTGTGTTCTAGGGGAAACTGAGGATTAGAAAGTCAGATGCTTTCATTCTGGTATCTGCTTGCTGTAAAGCCAGTTGGTGACAGACACTTGGCAGAATTGTTTGCCCTTTGGGACCTCCATTTTCTAATCAACGAGGGTAAGCTAGATGATCTCCAAACCCCCCTCCAGCACTGCCAGTTGTTGAGTCTCAGACTCTCTTCCTGGGTTCTTCAAGAGTAAGCTATGTAAGTAAACACATGCTAGAGTATAGCTGTCAAATATAGTGAATATCAGAAAAACCTGGGAGCCTGTTAAAAACAAAAACCTCCAGACCCATAACCAGAGAGCTGGATCCAGAAGCTCTGGGATGGGGCCAAAAATCTGCATTTTTAATAAGTCTCGCAAGAGATTCCGATGCACCAATTCTGGTTTGAAACCCTAGTATTCAAAGCAATGGCAGCACAAGGGACCTTATCAGAAATGGAGAGCTGGGGCCCTGTCCCAGATCCACTGAATCAGAATCTACATTTTACTTTCTTTCTGTATGGATGCTAAGTTGATAATGTATGTGCCCAGGGATGCTGGGGACACTCTATGGGAACGATGCTTATGTACACTGAAATGTCCTTAGAAAGGGTCCAACCTGGTTAATCTCAATACCATGATCAACACTGATACCAAAGAAACCACACTACCCCTTATCTATTAGTCATTAGTTTAGCTTTTCTGATGGGAGGCTTTCCGAACCAGGAGAAATGTACAACTGCTCCTCTTGAAAGCATGGTCTGGAACAGTGTTTTTCAAATTACATTTGGCAGAGCCTTAGGCTTCAGTCTTACAGGGCCACCTGGGGATAGGGATTGTGTGACGCAGCCTGGACTGAGCTGGCCTCCAGGCTACAAACTCTATTTCAAACAGAACTGCTCCTCTTTGATCAGTTTTAGAAATTGGGATTACAGTTTGATTCCCTTTGAAAAGAGAGTTTCGCTGCTTTAATATTTTTCTCAATCAGCATGGTGCTCCACAGGCTCCATCAATGCCATTGGTACCTTTCCCATACAAGCCAAGAGATGGGCTTAGGGAATGAACCTGATTCCCTTTTCCTCTGTGCTTCCCTTGGGGACAGAGATGTGACCTTCAAAATGTCAAAACCCACTCCTGTTCCCAGGAGGACTGTTAAGTTACTCTCCCTATTCTATTTTAATGTTCAATGACCAAGGCAGATGCTAATGTGGAAAATTCTCAATTTGTCTCATTTACCATTCCTATGTTTGTCCTCTAACAAAAGTTCCGTATATCTTTTCTTATAAACCAAAAAGTTCCCACCGGTCATTGGAACTTTGATATTTAACATAAAAAGCAGTAGTCTGGATCTTTCTTTTTAGACCAAGTGTTTTGGGGATGTCTTCAGTGATTAGTATTGCTTGGTGGTCTAGATTTAGAGCCTCAGAATTCACTTAAGTGAGAAAGTGCAAGAGACCCACTGGAATCTTGGGAGTAGGATCCAGGTATCAGCACTTTATTTCAAGGTCCCTAGATGATTCTAATGTGTAAATGAGGTTGAGAGCCATTGCCCAGTAGACTAGATTTGGAAGCACTAGAAATTTAGTCCTGTAAGACACATGCTCACCAGTCCTCCTTCTTCCTTTCTTGGTCCCCTCTCCTGTGTCAGGGGACCATTTATTCATTCACTCACTCATACATTCATTCACTCACTCACTCACTCATTCACTCACTCATACATTCACTCACTCAACAGTTACTCAATAGTCATCTGCTATGTACTAATTTGGGACTAGAAATTAGAAATTCACAAGTCTTGTCCTTGTAGAACTAACAATACTACAAACAAAATGATAATTTTTAAAAAGGTTTTAGGTATAAATATGAAGCTATAAAGAAGGCAAAATAGGGTGTCAGTATAGTATGTAGACATAGCCTCTCTAAGAAGGTGATATCTGGGTTTGGGGGTGACACCCTAATTCTAAGACAGGAGGAGCTACAGGAAGATCTGGGGGAGCAAAATCTTAAACAGTAAGAGTAATAAGTGCCAATGTCCCCAAATAGGAATGAGCCTTGTAAATTCAAAAGACACATAGAAAGGTCAGGGTGGCTGTAGCAAAGGGAATGAGTGAGGAGTAAAGCACAGAAGGAAATGACATCCTGTGGTAGCTGAGAACCAGTTTGCATAGGTCTTTGCAGACCATAAAAAAGGTAGTGGAAGAGATAATATCTTAAATAACTTTAACAGTGGGAAAATATCTACTCAAAGACCGTACCAGTCACATGAATCATGGCCTATATTCTAATGCAATGGTTTTCAGTTACATTTTACTTGAGTTTTTGGAGGGGGAGGAGCAGAGTTGGTACTGTTCTTGGGGACACACACGAGAACTGCCTGGAAGAGTTCTTTCAAGTTCTATGGCATGCATCACCCATCTTCCCCATAGATGTGATTTTTTTTTCACACTGCCCTAGTGGTGGGACCCCTACCCATACTGAGCAACTACTCCTCACAGGAGTGGGATATATCCAGTGGCATCCAAAACCAACCATATTCATGCTTAGGATTTTCATTCACCCTGAACTGCAGTCCAGTTCATTCACTCTAAGCTTTAGACATCTGTACTCTCTGAATCTCTCTACCAGGAGGTCCCACAGCACCTCAAACACAACAAGACCAAAATTCAACTTATCTTTATCCATAAAATGGCTGATTTCTCCTCCTATAATCTTTTATGTCGGTATCACTATGACTCCAAATTAGCACGTAGTGGATGTTCACTAAATAACTGTCACATGAACAAATGAATCAACTTCTGGACCCAAGAGAGAAGAGACTAAGATAGGAAGGAGGAGGGCTGGTGAGCATATGTCTTACAGGACTGCATTTTCAGTGCTCCCAAATCTAGTCTACTGGGCATTGGCCCTCAACCTCAGCAGCACATTCGAATCATCTAGGGACCTTGCAATAAATATTGATGCCTGGATCCCACTCCCAGAAATTCCCGTGTAATTTGTTGGGGTGTGGCCAAGGCATCATGAGTTTTCAGAGCTCTCCAGGTGATTATCATGTGCATCCCAATTGAGACCCACTTATTAGCTGTTACTAAACCTGAAGTGATCTTTTCCTGGGCCTCTTGCATCTTCTTTCTTAATTGAATTCAGTGACACTCTAAATCTAGAGCTACCAAACATTGCTAGTCACTAAAGACAGCCCTAAAATGCTTGGACTAAAGAAAGATCCGGATTGTTGATATTACCTTAAGTATCAAAATCCCCATTGACTGATGGGAGCACTTTGATTTATAAGAAAAGGCACATGGGGCTTAGGAGACAAACTAGCATGGTATATGAACTCTCCCTTACCGCCTCCCTCACACTTTCCAAATTTTCACAGAAGCCTCCCTCACTACATTCAGTCTTAGAATAGGAACATAGTTTATTTTTGTAAAATCAAACAAATTCACCAAATATTCCCTCCTTTGCTGTCATTATTGTCATTTTTATCTTAGCAGGCTGCAAATATCCTATGAGCACAAACCAATACTGCTTTTATATCTGTTAAAAGAAGGATCAAAATTACTGCACCATGCCTGCTAAACACCTGCAGGCTTTGGAATCACATAGGCTGGAGTTCAAATATCAGCTCTATTATAATTTAATCGGACTGGAGGAAATCACTTAATCTCTGTTTCCTCATCTGTAAAATAAGCATAATGATAGCCCTATCTTACAGAGATTTAGTGAAAATGAAATAACAAATATTCTTGTTTTCTATTGAGGCATAAAAATTACCAGCCAGGTGGGGTGGTTCACGCCTGTAATCCCAGCACTTTGGGAGGCCAAGGCGGGAGGATCACGAGGTCAGGAGATCGAGACCATCTTGGCTAACACCATGAAACCCCGTCTCTACTAAAAATACAAAAAAATTAGCCGGGTGTGGTGGCGGGCGCCTGTAGTCCCAGCTACTGGGGAGGCTGAGGCAGGAGAATTGTGTGAACCTCGGAGGTAGAGCTTGCAGTGAGCTGAGATTGCGCCACTGCACTCCAGCCTGGGCGACAGAGCGAGACTCCATCTCAAAAAAAAAAAAAACAAAAACAAAAAACAGAACACACAAAACCTCTGCTGCTCAAATGCTCAGGGAAACTGATTTGAGTAATAATAAAACTCTGGGCAGGGCACGGTGGCTCACGCCTGTAATCCCAGCACTTTGGGAGGCGGAGGCGGGTGGATCACGAGGTCAGGAGATCGACACCATCGTGGCTAACACGGTGAAACCCCATCTCTACTAAAAATTCAAAAAATTAGCCAGGCGTGGTGGCATGTACCTGTAGTCCCAGGTACTCGGGAGGCTGAGGTGGGAAAATGGCTTGAACCCGGGAGGCGGAGCTTGCAGTAAGCCAAGATCACGCCACTGCAGTCCAACCTGGGCGACAGAGTGAGACAACGTCTCAAAAAAAAAAAAATTACCCCAATATTTACTGGCTTAAAACAATTGATCTTGTATGGGCGAGAGAGTGAGACAATGTCTCAAAAAAAAAAATTACCCCAATATTTAGTGGCTCAAAACAATTGATCTTGTATGGTTCAGGGAGTTGATAGGCTCGGCTAGGTACTTCTCCCTTAGAGTCCTTTACATGGTTGCAGGCAGTGGGCATTTAAGCCTGGATCATCTGATGACTTCTTCACTCATATGTCTGGTGTCTGGGCTGGGATGGCTAGAATAGCTGATGGTGTCTAGCTAGGTTTCTCTATTCTCTTGTGGCTACCCTGGGCTTCCTCACAGCATGGTGGGCTCAAGGTTGCTGACTTCTCATATGGCAGCTGGCTTTTCTCTGAGTGAATGTTCCAAGAGAGAGGAAGTAGAAGCTGCTAGTCTATTAAGCCCTGGAAACAGCCACAGCATCGCTTCCTCCATATCCTCCTGCTCACTGCTGTTACAGTGCTCAACTGGCTCCAAAGGGAAAGGTCAGAGACTTACCTCTGAATTGCAGAAATGTTGATAAATTTCTGGCCATGTTTTGTCCACCACAATGTATAAAGTCTGTGGTGCAATGTCTGGAACATCTTAAGTTATAGTATTTCAAACAGAATATATTATAATAGTAACTAAATATTATCCTAATCACCTTATACTAATGTCCCTTAATATTTTTATAAACATAATGGAATATAGTATCAGCAACTGTGGGGAGGAGGGGACAGGAAAGAGTGACGATTATAATCATTGAAAAGAAACATTTACCTCCTTGTCTGAGGCACTGAGTCACCCTCAATTTGTTGGGCACCATGGGACTGCAGGAAGTTGCTGTCATAATCCTTCCAATGCAATCATTGTGAGGTCGCATAGAGGAAGGGGCAGCCAGGGAGACTCATCTCATTGCCAGTGCAGGATGTGCTGAGTGCCTTTGTGTAAAAGGTGGCACCATCAACAGGGAATAGGATGTGCCAATGTGACAGTGACTCACTGAGTGAAATCATGGCTTCTAAGGTTCTGATGCCTGCTAGGCTGGGAGCAATGAGATCGGCCCAATGTCCTATCCCCTCCATGGAGAAATCAAAGAAGTTTAGTCTCAGGACATATATTCGGAAAGGAGAGAACTTGCTGTTTCAACTACTTTCATCATATAAGAGTATTGTATTAGTCCCTTTTCATGCTGCTGTGAAGAACTGCCTGAAACTGGGCAATTTATAATGGAATGAGGCTTAATTGACTAACAGTTCTGCATGGCTGGGGAGGTCTCAGGGAATTTGCAATAACGGCAGAAGGGGAAGCAAACATGTCCTTCACATGGCAGCAGAAGATAGAAGTGCAGAGTGAAGTGGGGGAAAATCCTTTATAAAATTATCAGATCTCCTGAGAATTCACTATCATAAGAACAGCAGATGGGAACCACCCCAAGATCTAATCAACTCCCACAAAGTCCTTCCCCCAACACGTGGGGATTGCAATTCAGATCACAATTCAAGATGGGATTTGGGTGGGGACACAGAGCCAGACCATATCAAGTATCATACCAGATTCTTTTTAGGGCAAAGATGATTTACTATTTTTCTTGAAATGCATTATGATAAAAAAATCAAAATGAGCCAAGCTAAGCAAGTAATATATTAGGCTTAAAGATAATTCTTTGTGATGACCAAGTCGGGTTTGTCCCAAGTATGTAAGGTTAATAGACATTAGAAAAGCTAATTGCTATAATTCACCACATTAATATATTGTAATAGTCTCTAAAGGTGACCTTTGGCATCACATCCCCATGAAATTCCTCACTCACTGAATATGGGCTGGCCTGTGACTTCTATAACCCATTCAACATGGCAGAAGAGAAGCTGTGCCTATTCCAGAAGCATGCCTCAAGAAGGCTTGGCAGTGTTACTTGTGCACTTTGGGATCCCTTAGCCACCATGTAAGAAGTTCACCTATCCAGCTGGGAAGACCTTGTAGAGACCACGTAGAGAGAATGAGGTCTGAGACTACATGGAAAGGACAGCCTCAGTCATTTCATTATACCAGCTATATTGAGACTTCTAGCCATCCCAACCAAGGCACCAGACATGTAATGGGCCATCTTGGACAGTCCCACATCCAAATTAAACTTCCAGATGTTTGCAGCCCCAGACATTGTCTCACTACAATGGCAAGAGAGCACCCAAACAAAAGCAAAAGAACCATCTTGCTGACCCCTTTCACCCACAGATTTGTGAAACATAATAAAAATGGTAGTTATTTCAATCCACTTACTACTTGCGTAGTTTGTTGTAAAACAATGGACAACGATAACATATTAAAAGAAAAAAATGTATAAGGTTATCTTTAAGCTTATAGAGAACCCATTTGGAAAAAAAAATCTACATTTATTCATGATTTTAAAAAATTCTGAAGCAAAACTTGGGATCAGAGAGTTAATTTCCTTCATCTGATAAAATCCACAACACCCCATTATAAGTGATAGCAAATCCCCATTTTGAGATCAAGATAAAGACAAAAATGCCCACTATTACCACTTTTTATCAGAATTATACTGCAGGTTCCAGTCGCTGCAGTGAGGCAAAGAAAAGAAAAAGCATAAAGATTAGAAAGGAAAAACCAGAATTGTCTTATTAAAATGATACTATTTTATATGTATGAAATCCCAAAGAAACTTCAGATATATTATTTTGATTAAGAGATAAAATCTGGATAGAAAATCAATACACAAGAATCAATTATAGTACTATATACTAGAAACCAGAAGATAAACAATTAAAAAGACAGCATTCATAATGGCATCAAAAATATGTGAGAATAAGTCTAACAAAAGAGTTGCAGGACTTGAGTAAAATTATAAAATGTTATTAATAGGTATTAAAGAATACCTAGATAAATGATCTTAGATTGGGAGCCTCGATACTGTAAATATAAAATTGTCCTCTGATGAAATCACAATGAAATTCCCCAATTTTTTTGCCCACAACAAGCTGATTCTAAAATGTATATGGAGTTTCAAAGGATAAATAAGAGACAAGAACACTATGAGGGGACATCCCCTACCACGTATCAAGAGTGACTATTAAGTTAGAAGTAACTGCAGTCAGAGATAGGCCAAAATACCAGTGGGACACTGCAAGTTCAGTGTTACAGCCTGTGTTACAGCCATTTGCTGAATGGCAGCGGTTACATGGCAGTTTGGTAGGGAAAGTACAGACTTTAATAAATATTGCCAGGAAAATTGAGTATTCATGTATTTTTTAAAAGAGAAAAAAATCACACATCTATTTTACACAATATAAAAAATGATTTTCACACATTTTTATTTTTCAAAAGATGAGAAAAAAGTTACACCTGTTTCACACAATACACAAAATAATCCAACTAGTTTAGAATAGAAGAGGATAATAGGAGAGGATAAACTATAGAACTTAGAAAATAATATAGAGGAACATTTTCATGAGTGAAAAGTAGTAAAGAATGTCTTAAAACACAAAAATGTTGACTCTAAGGAAAAGATTATAGAGTTTACTACATTTTTAAAAAACTGTTCATCAGAAAGATAACTATTAAAAGATTGTAAAGATGAGCCATCGATTGGGAGAAGATATCTGAAACCTGTATAACCAACAAAGGGCTCCTTTTGAGAAGATATGAAGAACTCTTCTAAATCACAGGAGGGACGATACAATAGAAAAATATCTGCAAAAGACTCCAGTCTCTTCCTTTATAAAAGAGGAAACTCAAATGACCAATAAATTCTGTGCATGAAAAGGTGCTCAACCTTATTATGAACCTGGAATATGTATATAAAAACAAAAATGAAATACTTTTGCTTATCTAATATTGACAAATCACTTTAAATTGAAAATACCAAATGTTGAGAGAATGTAAAACATTGGGAACCCTCATACACAGCTGGTGTAAATGGTACTTTTTTTGTTGTCTACTCAAGCTGAAGACAACTTATCCTCAATTGTTTCAATCTTGGGTGTGTACTTTAGAAAAATGGGTACACACATGCCCTAGGATTATTGTAGCCTGTAATTGTGCAAATCTGGGAACCCATCCCACATAGAATGGAAAAATTATGGCATATTCATACAATGGTATGCTATGCAATAATGAAAATGAACAAGTTACATAGATAAGTTTAACCAACATATACGGAACCAAAGAAGCCAGACACAAAAATATGAATCCATATCCATAGAAGTTCAAAAATGAACATTTTGGGGGATTCATTTATAAGAGGTAAAATGAAAAAGGAAATCACAATGGTAGTCCCTCCAGAAGAACAGGAGGGAGTTTTGAAGGAGACAGGCTCATGGACTGCTGGCCATGATCTTTTACGAGCTGGGATTGGTAATTATATTGGTATTTATTTTTATAATTATTTCAACTAACTATACAAATGTATGTATATGTACTTTCCTGTGTGTGTGTTATATTTCATAATAAATGAAGCAAAAATAGTACAAAATCAAAGATGTGTACACAAATATTTTGTTATAAAGTATTAACTATAACTATGTTTATTATAGGGGGAAACCCCATACTTTGAATCACTACTTTGGATTATGTAAAAGAAGGGATCAAATACATCACGTGGCACACAGAAGAGAGGTTATACAGCCTCTAGAAATTATAGAAGAATATTTCATGGCTTCTAAAGATAATTGAGATATATATTTAGGTGGGAGATGATGTTTATCATACATTATGCACAAATATTTCAATGTTTTAAAACAAACTTTGAATGCTAATGCATGAAAAAAGATTGGGAGAAACACATTATAATGTTAACTATGATTCTATTTGGGTGGTGACTTTATGAGCAATTTTTGTTTTGTTTTGCTCGTTTGTATAGTTTTAATTCTGAGCAATGAATATGGATTACTTTTGAAGGAAATAAAAGGAGACAATATATTCTACTGGGAAACAATAAGGAAAAAAGAGCCTAGAGATCTCAAAATGGAAATAAGAAATGTGGTATTCGTTAATATGTCTATCTGGAAAACACCTGGAATCCTACCAGCTCCGATGAGCCCATTTGAATATAACTTTTCCCTAACAGTGGCCACCCACTTGGTTCCCCTTTCCCAGCAGGCGTAGCTCCGATAGTGAAATCAAATTCTGGCTGTCTGCTTTGGAAGTAAGTAGGGCAGTGGGGTGGGGGAAGGTGAAGGGATCCTCTGAGAACAGCCTGCTCCAAACTGAAAGGAAGTGAAAATCCTCCACATGTTGCAGGGATTGCTGGTAGATCATCCCCCAGTTCTCCTGCATCTGTTCTGCTGCCTCTTATAGAAACCAAGACAGGAAAAATGAAATGTACCTAAAACAGGAAATGAGGGTAGTCATTTGAATGATACAGTACCAGAACCCTGTAAAGTGTTTTGGGTGGGGTGGGCAGTGAAACAAAAGGCACCAATCATAGTGCTCACATCTGATCTCACACTCGGAAAAAGTAGGTACGTGAAGACAACAAACGATGGTGAGTGGAGAGGACTCCAGAGTCAGCACACACACATTCCCAATAGCCAGGTGGGTTCAACCGCTGCATACCTGTTAGCTCCTCAGGGTGGAATTTCCCAACTGCTGAGCCATGGTATGCTGGTTTTCCCTATGCTATTGATCCCCTCAGCCCTAGAGGTAATGGGCCAGCACTTCTGACAGCACTCTGGGCCAGCACTTCTGACAGCAGGCACTTCATAAATTAGTAAAATAGAGGAATTGACAGAATATTTTTATAGCAGGTAAAGAAAGTAAGAAAACATTAAGTGGGAAAAAGAAGTTAATAGCCATTAGCATGCAACTACTATGATTTTTATTATCCTTTTCCATGTAAAAAGACATATAAAGAACTAGGAAGCATTAGAACTACCATAGGTCATCCTCTCATTAAATAAAGTCCAAAAAAAAAAAAAAAAAAACAACAAAAAAAAAAAACAAGGGCCAGGGGGTGGGAGTTGGAGAGGGGCTTATAGCTCAAGGTACTATTTTTCTGTGGAAGGCCCGTTACTGTTAATACGTGTGCTATAAAATAAAGAGGAGTCAGATGAATTTGGGGAAAACCAAGTTTTTTAAAAGGTATATGTCATTTCAGGAATTCCTAGGGCCTGTAACTGATAAAAATATATTGCGACTTTCCACAAGCAGAAATAGCATAGAATTATTGCGCCAAAGCTTTTCGACCATAGAATATCACCTGAGGAATACGCTTTGCAAATTGCTACAGTAATCTCTCTCTCACTGCTGCACCCACGCTTCACTGAATGTGTGGTGTAGAATGGGTTCTGATCCTCTCCCACCTGATGATATGGTTGTCCCCACACTGGCTTTTTTCTTTTACTTATGGCAAGCGATCGGCCTGATAAAGCTGAAACTACTAATGGGCTATTCAGGGGCTTTCATCCACCTGAGTCCAAAGCCTTTGCAAAATGACTTCCCGGAACTCAGAGGCAGTCTGCAGCTGGAGCAGTTAGCACTTCGCCAGAAAATAGTTTGTCTTCGTTTTCAGTGTATTTTTCTTTTCTCAGAAGAAAGAAAACAAATAGTCTCAAGTAAATGAATAGAGGAACATGCAGAATTCTCTTTAAAATGGCAGCTTCATGACTTTGCCAAATAAATGAAGATATATTTTAGACATGTATACTCGCTTTACATCTAACTGTGATTTCTTGTTACTTTGCTGATTTTCTTTGAAAATGGAATATAAATATTCAGTAACAGGGATTGTTCTGTTGATGAAGTCTAGTTAAGTTGTAATAACAACTAAATTGATTAAGAACATAGGGCTAAGAATCATGTAGCCTCTTAATCTCACTTTTTCTAAGCTTCCAGGTAGCCCTTTATTTTGCAGTAATGGAAACTCCAGCCATCTGAGCAGAATTCATATGAAGTCTACATGCCAAAGAAATAGAATTTTGCATTTATTTTCTGTTTTCTACTTCCACTTGGAAAGTATCTTTTTCCCCCTAGAAACACATTTAAAAGGGTATAAAAGGGGCTTTCTGTTTGGGGCCAGAACCAGAAAAGGAAAGACAATGGAGAAAAAAAATATTAGCTCAGCTTTTCCGGACTTGAAATAATGTGTGATTTTTGCAGTTTCTCCAACTTTTGAGACTAGGTCTGGTAGAATGCTTAATTCTTTCAGCTGGCGAATCACCTTTCCTCTATGGGGATATTAATGCCCAGTTAAAATTTCTCCATACGAATAAGGAAAAAAACATTTGAATACAGCAGAGCTGTGACTAGATTGATAAATAAAATCATTCTGTCCCTACCCCATTAATTCTCCCTTTCACCGTTTGGAGGTCCTGTGGGCTGAAGCAGTACATCATTTAAATAGTACCTTCAGGTGTTTCACTGAGACCTAATTAAAATTGATGTTGTCATCTGGTGTTTCCTTGTGCAATTTGTCTAGCTCCATGCAAATTGCAAAACAGAGCTCTTGATTAGGACTTTGTCCTTCTTCAAGAAACTGCCCAAGATTTCCTTTAGGTGCTCCAGAAAACGATTTGGCCAGTTGGGAAAAAAAACTTAAGAGTCACTGCGTTCACTGATTTCCTTGGCAAGATATCCAAGTGGTCCTTTTGAATGGATCAGCTGTGACAAGTAAGGCAGTATCCCCCAAGACTTTCCATTCCATAATTGAATTAAAAAAAAAAATTCTTACGATTATTTGTTCTCACAAAATATACGTATCAGTCTCATACTATGTACCTTGGAAATAAGGCTATGTATAGGCAACAAGACCCCATCCTTTGGTGGAGCTCAGACTAGCAGGAAGACAGACATCAACTAGTAATTAACAATAACACATAATGAAGGCATCAGGAAGAAGGAACTGGCGCTGTGTATTTAACGTAGGGGTCAGGAAGGCCACTTCCCTGAGGAAAGGAAATCAAGACACCTCCAGAAGGATACCGACTGGAGATGAGGCTGGAGAGGGTACCACCCTCTCCAGATATGTGCTGTATATCATCAGAATAACAGAGCTAGACATTTGCTTTCTATCCTTCATGCTTTTGTTCAAGTTTTCCCTTTATATTTACAAACTAAAGACCAATTTCTCCTCATAGAAGACTATTAATAAGTTTGTAGCTATGGTCCTTTCTTTTGTGTTTCTTTAGAAAACAATGATTTAAAAATAAAAGCTACCATTTATTAAATGTTCACATTGTGTCAAGCCCATTGAATTCTCACAAATGTTTTCATTTCATCAACTTTTGAAAGAAACTGGAGTTCAGAAGTTTTACTCAACTAGGCAGTGGCCTAGCTAGGAATCAAAGCCAGATCTGAGACATTGAAGTGTCCAATTTTTACCAGTTTACTGGGGTTTTCTTCAATGTTCACATCTACAAACCACTTCATCAAAACGATGAGGGGAGTGTTTGTTAAAAAGACAGAGTTCCAGCCCCGCTCCGTGCAACACCCCACCCCCCACCCCCTGCAGCTGTTTTGAGTCTGAATCTCTGAGGATGTGGACGGAGAATTTGCAGTTCAACAAGTTCCCCAGGGGCTTCCCATGCATTTGAGAATCAGCACACTGCACACAGCTATGCACTTGTAAGACCGGGGTGTGGAGAGACAGACCACTGCTAAGGCAGTTTACTGTACTCTTGTCCACGATCTTGGATTGTTCTCTTGGCCATTTGATGAAATACTACAATGCAGAATGGTTATGATTTTCAAACTGCAAATAGTTTAGCCCCACATTTTGGCAAGATATCTAGGCAGAGCTCACAGAAGAGCTGCTTATTCAGGCTTCAGCCAAGCTGTGAAAAGTGAGGCCTTTTGAGAGGAAGTGAGATAAGACAAAAACTTAAAAAAACAAACATTCTGAGGCCGGTGTTTAAAAGGCCACTGGCAAAATCTATAGCCTAACTAGAAGTGAGCTAAACAAACACATTACTGGGCCATCCAGGAAACATGAAGCAGCTGCCTGGAAGTGGGATGTGTGTTTTCAACCTGGGTAGAAATATCCCGGGGAGTGATGATATGGAATCGGACACAAAGTTCACATCAAAACAACAATGGAGATTTGCAACGGGCAGTGCATCCAGGATGGACAGGAGATGTTCCAGTCAAGTGGTTCAGAGCAAGTTCAGGGTAGGAGGGAGAGCTGTGTCCAATCTCACTTAAACTTATATGCCTTCATTTGTGCCTCCTCGTGGAATTATCTCATGGCCGCTATTTGAAAAAGAAATGGCAGTGGAGACCTACTGGCTAGGGCCAAAGCTTCATAGCTTTTGAATAACGAAAAAATTGTGGTGCTGCCTACTCTTTCCCGTTACATAATATAAGATAAAAACAATACCAATTCAGCAACATTCCAAGTTTTCCTCTGAGACTCATTCAATGCTTTTTTAGAAATGCAAACTATCAATTTCTTGAAGAAAAAAAAAAGGATTTTGTGTGCTTGGCTAGTGCCCTCCACACAAGATTAATTCAGTGAGATAGTGTTCAGTAAAGTGCTTAGCAAACTCCCTGGCACAGAGGAGGCACTCATGCATTGCTAGTTATTATTATTTTTAATAATAGCAACATATGTTGGCAATTAAATTTACTGTGGTTTCCTTCCCTTTAAAAGGACGTTAAAGGTCCCCTTCTATGGATGCATTTTTGCTAGTGTTCTACTATTTGGTATTGTTTGAACCTGGCTCTGCAGTAGTGCAAGTTGCCCTTAACTTTCCATATAGGCCTCTGTCCTCAAATTCAGATTCGAATTCTCTGGTACAGTTTCCTACAGAGCTCTTTCTTTCCCACATTTCCCTGTTGCATCATGACATTTAATTAGTTATCATTTTTGCTTGCTTTTAATTAAAGAAACACTGTGCTCCTCTTGGAATCATTCACTGAATGCCATCTGAACTCTTGACATTTATTTAGAAACTTGCATTTTGCAAGGTTTTTGTAACATGAATATTTGATGATTAGAGTAATTCAAGGCCCTCTGTAAACAGAAGCTCATACCTCTTCTTTCCAAGTAGAAACCATACTGAAGGACTTGCAATAATGTAGAACTTCCTATCATCCCTGATGATGCACCAGCCTTTCCGACTCCATTATCTAGAGCTGTGGTTCTCGATCAGAGGCAACTTTGTCTCTCAGGGGACATACACAATGTTTGATTTCCACGATTGGGAGGTAGAGGTAGGTAGAAGCCAGGGATGCTGCTAAACCTCCAAAAATGCACAGGATAGTCTCTCACAACAAAATTCGCTGAACCGAAATGTCAATGGTGATAGTGCTGAAGTTGAGAAACTCATGTCTGAATTGCCTCTTAACCCCATGATCAAATATGTCTGTTTCTTGGGATTGTAAGCATGCTAAAAGAAAAAGCTGGCTGGGTGTGTTGGCTCACGCCTGTAATCCCAGCACTTTGGGAGGCCAAAATAGGTGGATCGCTTGATCCCAGGAGTTCAAGACCAGCCTTGGAAACATGGCAAAATCACGTCTCTATTAAAAATACAAAAAATTAGGCCTGGTGGCATGCACCTGTGGTCCCAGCTACTTGGGAGGCTGAGGCAGGAGGATTTCTTGAGTCTGGGAGGCAGAGGTTGTGGTGAGCTGAGATCACGCCACTACACTCCAGCCTGGGCAATAGAGACTCTGTCTCAAAAAAAAAAAAAAAAAAAAAAAGGAGCTAAAAAATTAATTTAGATTTTAACAGGGTACACCAATAGCTTTCTAAAGCAAAGTGCTATCTACTTTGTAAAATCAAATGTAAAACATGGTCCATTTACAATACAAATGATATCTTTTATACATATAAGGTATTTTATAGCATGCAAAAACAGTCACATATCACATTAAAGAATTATACCTGGCATCATAACCATTTTATAGAAAGAAAATTATTTTTACCTATTGCATCCCTTGAAATGGCTTTTCAACTTGTAACACCTTAATTATTGAGGAGTCACCCACAAATCTGTCATGTGTCAAGTATTCTAGAAGGAAATAAAGGCAGGGTGTAGGCTACTCATGTGTCTCTCACTGGTCATGAGTGAATGAGTGAAATTTCCCAGGAGGAAATGGAATTTTAGGGACTGACTTGCAAGTAGTAAATTATATGGTATGTGTCACAATTGTGCCACATGCCTGATTTATAAACATCCATATTTTTGAAGAGCAAATAATTAATTAGAAGTGATTTTCTTTCCTGAATTACCTTGTTTTATAGAAACTCATACTGAGGGGGTGATGGTCATGAAAATTCCCAGCCTCTGATCTATTCTTTGTATGGCTTTTACTGTGCTGTGATCCATAGAGCATAACTTGAAAATTTAGTAAAGAAAAGATCAGGGAAATCAGATGCTGAGCTGTTGTTCAGGTCCCCTTGGCAAACTAAAAATATATGAATATAAATGTGTCAAGTTCATTAGACACTCAAAGGGCTCCCTTTGATTCTGGTAATGCCTTAAGGGCAGAAATCACTGAGAGAGAATCAGGCCAGAGACAAGCCTTCAGAAGAGTCTTTGCTGAATGTGAAATGAGTTCTTGTCTCATTCAGGACTGGCATTGAACACATTACTTTTTGAACCCTGGCTTTAGGAGGAGGCAGGCTTGGGATAAAATGTCAGTTTGACCTCTTGCTAGTTATCGGAAATTGTTGAAGTTACAGAATGATGCTGCTCCCCCATCTGCTAAGTAGAGATGATACTTCTTGGGGCAGCAATGAAGACTAAAGTTGTGATGTAATAGGCTTAGCATGGAATTTGAAATCCTTCTCAAAGGGGTTGTGAAGTTCTGATTTATGGTCTTTCTTGCTGGTATGATCTCTTTTTGTGATACTTCTTCAGTGAACATATATATTCACTCTTCCCTGAGACCAATGCCACTGTCCTCAATCGGACCCTTGACAAGTTTTACAAACCTCCTGTGAATGTGATCAAACCCTACCTGTACTTACAAGCCTTCAAAGACTCTCACTTTTCTAAAAAAGCATCTTCCTTTGCCTGCCCCATTCAATGTTGGGGCTCCCTCTCTCTCACACTCCCTGTTGCTGTACTTCAGCAAAGATAGTATACATCAGTGTTCATAGCAGTCCATTCACAACAGCCAAAAGGTGGAGACAACCCAAATGTCCATCAACAAGTGAATGGATATACAAAATGTGGTATATTCATCCAATGGCATATTGTTCAGCCTTAAATGAAATTGTACACATGCTACAGAATGGAAGAACCTTGGAAATATTATGCCAAGGGAAACAAGCCAGCCACAAAAAAACTAATATTGCAGGATTCCACTTAAAGGTGGTACTTAGAATAGGCAAATTCATAGAGACGGAAAGTGGTTACCAGGAGCTGGGATGGGAGGAAGGGGAAAGGGAGAGTTATTACTAACGGGTACAGAGTTTCAGTTTGGGATAATGTAAGAATTCTGGAGATAGATAGTGGTGATGGTTGTATAACTATGCAAATGTACTATGCCACTGAACTGTACACTTAAAAATGGTTAAATAGTAAATTTTATGTATATTGTTCCACAGTAACTATTTTTCATTTTCTAAAAAAAAATTGTTTAAAATTATGCTTAAACATAATTTTATTGAATATCATATACCAAATATTAAACTCATTTATATAAGTTAATGCTTACATTAATTAATTTAAAGATTTTTAAAACTCTTGGAAGTCAGTGATATTGTCATTACCAGTAAGGAAACTGAGGCCTTTAGAGGTTAAATAAGCCCAAGGTCACACAGCCAGGAAGTAGCAGAGCTGAAATTGAAACCCAGGTATCAAGTTCCAAATTCTTAATCACCATGTTTACTCCTGTACCTAGTTTCTGTGTATTGACAATTGTCATATTTTGAATCTCTAGCCCAGATCTTAGAACAATGATGAGAATATTGATGCTTGATGAACATTATTTTGAGTCTCTTAAAAAATTGGGAAGGAGTTCCTATGATCCTGATTTAAAGACGAGAACTATGAAGCACAGGGAGGTTAAATAACTTATTCAAGTTCATCCATCCATGGCAGAGCCAGGATTTAAACCCAAGGCAGTCGAATTTAAAGCTATATCCTTAATGTAACTGTCTCCAGTAGCACATAAGTACCTTATCATAAGACAAATTTTTCCCCCCACATTTTTAAGTTTCTGAACTGGGGATCCATCTAACAATGTATTCCTAGTTCAGTGTTTTCTCTGCACTTTAGTTTGATGAATGGTATCTGCAGAACTCAGGAAGTAAAGAATGCAGCAGATGAACAGGATCAGTTTGTTAGAATGTGATCTGCCTTACGATGACCAAAAACTAGCCCTTAGGTACAGATCTAAATAAAAGAATCAGGAACTCGGGTGAGTTGTGTGCAGGAAAGAATTTTCTAGCAGCCCTCACTGAGACACCCCTGAGGTCTGGAAACCTTGGCTATCCAAGAACAGACTTGGAGAATATGCCTATGTGATTTTAGAAAGTTTAAGCCATTCTGGCAATCATTAAAAAGTCAGGAAACAACAGATGCTGGACAGGATGTGGAGAAATAGGAACACTTTTACACTGTTGGTGGGACTGTAAACTAGTTCAACCATTGTGGAAGACAGTGTGGCGATTCCTCAAGGATCTAGAACTAGAAATACCATTTGACCCAGCCATCCCATTACTGGGTATATACGCAAGGGATTATAAATCATGCTGCTATAAAGACACATGCACACATATGTTTACTGCGGCACTATTCACAATAGCAAAGACTTGGAACCAACCCAAATGTCCATCAGTGATAGACTGGATTAAGAAAATGTGGCACATATACACCATGGAGTACTATGCAGCCATAAAAAAGGATGAGTTCATGTTCTTTGTAGGGACGTGGATGAAGCTGGAAACCATCACTCTGAGCAAACTATCACAAGGACAGCAAACGAAACACTGCATGTTCTCACTCATAGGTGGGAATTGAACAATGAGAACACTTGGAGACAGGGTGGGGAACATCACACAATGGGGCCTGTCATGGGGTGGGGGGAGGGGAGAGAGATAGCATTAGGAGATACACCTAATGTAAATGATGAGTTAACGGGTGCAGCACACCAACATGACGCATGTATACATATGTAACAAACCTGCACATTATGCGCATGTACCCTAGAACTTAAAGCAAAATTAAAAAAAAAAAGTTTAAGCCGTTCTATTTACATTTTGGTGACCCCTATTATAGCCTCCTTTTTCTATGGCATGTGCTTCTTTCCCTTCTCAGGGGCAATCTCTGCCTCTATTACTAAGAGCTGAGACCCTCTGTGGCCCCTGGTTCTTTTCATGGGTAGCACCACCTTGCCTCAATTCACACTGTTGCTTATTTGCCAGTTCTACAGTTGCCCTCAGCGACTGCAGAAAGTAGGACTGAACATCTTGGAGTTCAAACACAACAAAAGCTCTAAATCCATGACCCCCATAAAGATCCTAAGAGATGCTGTGGAATGCAAACTCCATCAGTGAATCAAATCTGTTGTGTTCTGAAAGAGTTATCTAACAACCATGAATCATCAGGCATCATAACTGAGAGGTGGGCCAATTTTCCTGCTGTAAAACCAACTTTTCATAAAAATAGGCATTCTTTATGTCATGGGCAGAATTAAATGACCTGAATGCAAACATGCAACAAAAGGAAGAAGGGCTAAGACATTTTACCACTGATTTTTCTTTCTTGGAGAATGTCTTGCATGTTCCCAAATTTAGATCTGGAGAATTTACTTGTAATAATAATTAGACATTACCATGACTACAGCAATGTTTAAAAATTGCTAGTAGCAAAAGAAGTCACTTCCCAAGGAAAGATTTTTGTGGAGAAAATAGATGTAATTTCTCAAGGTATACAAAATAATATATGGCTACCTTAAAATATCCTAAAACCTTTCCAATTATTACTGATAACGTAAATCAAAAATGCAGTAGAAGCAGGAGTGGTGGCTCACACTTGTAATCCCAGCACTTTGGGAGGCTGAGGTGGATGAATTGCTTGAGGTCAGGAATTTGAGACCAGCCTGGCCAACATGGTGAAACCCTATCTCTACTAAAAACACAAAATTCACCAGGCATGGTGATGCATGCCTGTAATCCCAGCTACTCAGGAGGCTGAGACAGGAGAATTGCTTAAACTCAAGAGGTAGAGGTTGCAGTGAGCCAAGATCACACGATTGCACTCCAGCCTGGGCGACAAAGCAAGACCCCATCTCAAAATAAAAGATAAAAAAAAAAAGCAGTAGAAATTTCAATGTGATGGAGTCACAACAAATTTACAGTTTGAACTGACTGATATGTGACTCTGTTTTTGCATACTATAAAATATCTTATATGTATAAAAGATATCATTTGCATTGTAAATGGACCATGTTTTACATTTGATTTTACAAACTAGAAAGCACTTTGCTTTAGAAAGCTATTGGTATACCTGTTAAAATCTAAATTAATTTTTTAGTTTTTTTTGTCAGGGGGGTGGTGGGGGACAGAGTCTCTCTCTATTGCCCAGGCTGGAGTGTAGTGGCGTGATCTTGGCTCACCACAACCTCTGCCTCCCAGACTCAAGAAATCCTCCTGCCTCAGCCTCCCAAGTAGCTAGGACCACAGGCGCACGCCACCAGGCCTAATTTTTTGTATTTTTAATAGAGACAAGCCCAGGCTGGTCTTGAACTCCTGGGATTAAGCGATCCACCTGCTTCAGCCTCCCAAAGTGCTGGGATTACAGGCATGAGCCACTGCACCCAGCCAGCTTTTTCTTTTAGCATGCTTACAATCCCAAGAAACAGACATATTTGATCATGGGGTTAAGAGGCAATTCAGACATGAGTTTCTCAACTTCAGCACTATCACCATTGACATTTCGGTTCAGAGAATTTTGTTGTGAGAGACTATCCTGTGCATTTCTGGAGGTTTAGCAGCATCCCTGGCTTCTACCTACCTCTACCTCCCAATCGTGGAAATCAAAATGTGTCTAGACATTGTGTATGTCCCCTGAGAGACAAAGTTGCCTCTGATCGAGAACCACAGCTCTAGATAATGGAGTTGGAAAGGTTGGTGCATCATCAGGGTTGATAGGAAGTTCTACATTATTGCAGGTCCTTCAGTGTGGTTTCTACTTTATAGGGTGAACACACTTTTATCCTTCTCCTTGACAAATCTGAAAAATTAAATTGAGAGTTCTGTAAAGTGGCACTGAATTACATGGCTGACTGCTGAGGCTTCTAGAGGATTAGCCATACTTGACTAAATTAGCATTTGGGATTATGTCAGCATGGGAACTCAGAAAGTAAAAGCCAGTGAGGTGGGGCTTTGATTCCTGTGTTCTAAGTGCTTTTTAATTTTGGTGTAAAAAAAAGACAAATGGCTAACATTGCCCACATTTAACTCAATATCACACACACACACGAGCACACACACACAGAGATACACTGTCTCTCTCTCTCTTTCTCTCCCTTTCTCTCTCTGTCAAGTTCCCAAGTTTCTATGCTCATTTTCTAGGTGAGACAGCAAAAATTCAGAGCAAATAAGCCCACCAAACAGCAATTTCTTTTTTTTTCTTTTGGAAACAAAAAACCCCACCAATTTCTCAACCTCTAGGGAGAACTTTATCAAAGTTATTTGCTGTGGCTACCTATTAAATGATACCAAGATCTTTGAAGATTATCTGTTTCAGAGATATGTGAAATATATGTGTCATGCCTAGCATTTTGATTACATCTTTCCCTTAAAGGCCACTAAAGATTCTGTAGTTTAGTTAAGGCTTCAAATTTAAAGTGATCAACAAAAGTACAGATTAAGTGACTCATCTAAGGTGATGCAGATGGAAAATGAAAGACTGAGAAGTGAACGCAAGGGGATTTTAAAGTTCCTTTTCCTGAGTTATTTTTTATCCCTAAGTTCTGTCTTCTGTCCTTTTTATTTCCTCATTCTGCTCCCCTTAGCTTATTTTGTCCATACAGTGTTTGGCTCAAAATAGATGCTCAAAAAATATTTATCACTCAATAAAAGAAAACCTCAAACCACAGATACCATGGGCAATAAATCAATTTCCTGTTGAAGATAGTATTTGCCTTAGAAGACATTGTAGCTATTTAAAAGCAAAAGTGCTGATTGGCATCACTTTAAATTCATGGCTACAGATCTCAAATACATGTTCAACCAGTGCCTGGCAATTCTACTGTTCAGGGCTTCCAATTCCCTACTTTCTCCAAAACAGTTCACAAATAAACATTAGAAATTTCATGGACATCTTTGGTGGACAAATACTAAAATAAAACAAAGTTTGGCCCACTACAGCTTTTAAAATGTCTGCTTGTGATGGAGCATATCCACAAACAGTGGAATATGTAAAAGCCAGTCAAAAATCTCCACCGGAGCTTTAAAATGAACAGCTCCTAAGCCCCCACATGCTGCCATTTGAAAAAATAGATGTCATGCTTTCCTTTCTTTTCAGATATTCCATGAGCATAAACAGAAAAATCAGAATCTCATTACACTTGTTACTCTCTGCCTTCTCCATTCAATCTCATGTCATGGAAACAGAAAAGAGACTCAGGCAGGTATACCTCCTAATATCCTTGCTGGAGGAGCTCACTGCCATGGCAACCTCATGCACCACATGTCACATGGGAACACTTGCAAAATCTCAGAAGTTCTGCACGTTGCTATAATTGCAGATCTAGGCACTTTGGATACTCTGTCTCTGACAATCGTCAGAGATTGAAGCCAAAGTAACGGCCTTCCAGCTTACCTGAGTATACTTTCCTGAGAAAGCTTAATGGGATTCATGCTATACAGTCAGATTCATACAGTATTTCACTTTCATGACAGCTTTGACAGAGGTCCAAATGAGTACATCCAATGACAAAGGAACAGATACATAAATACATCTCACTTTTGCTCCTCTGCCTTGCAGTACTTCAGCTGTTGCAGTCACCCATTATGTCAGTTCCCTACCTGCATCGTATTTTTTCAACCATCTTTTCCTTCGAATACAGTGCGAGCACTACGGCTGGAGTGATATTTTTAAAATGTGAATTTGACTGTGTCATCTCTGTGATTAAGACTCTCCAGGATCATTCCACTCTCTGGAACTCCTTGGCCCCTGCTTTCCTCTCCACCACTGTCCCAGTATGTTCTAGCCTCCAGTTATCCCAAGCTCTTCCCTGTCCTAGAGTCTTCATGTGAGCAGCCTCCCAGCCTGAGAAATGTCACCCCTGACTCATTCTGCATCTGTCTCCATTCAAATTGTGCCTCTGCAGACACGTCTCCCTTGAGGACTTTATCTACATAGGTCTCTCCTTTCATTCTTCATTGATGTACTCCAATTACTTTTTTCATAGCAACTGTCTCAGTTTGCAAATACTTAATTAGGAATAATTGTGCTGACTTATATATTTCATCTTCTGTCCACTCAAAGACTATAAGTCTATGTTTATTTCACCCCCCAATGTAGAACAAATGTCTAACTGTGCCTGACGTGTAGTAAGCACAATAGATGTTGGCTAAATAAGTGAATGTATATCATTAAAGAAAGAGGATAACAGCATTAAAGGGACAAATTTGCCTAAGAGACCAAATTTAAGCTTTCTGCCCAGCAATTATATATACTCAATTAGCCCTCTTTATCTTTGTCTGCTCTGCCTTCTTGCCCCTTAACAAATTTGGTATTTATAGGAACTCAGGGATTTTCAACATGGTAAGACCCAAGGAAACCCCAAATTGGTCCACTGCTTGTTTCATGCCCAGATTTTTGACCCCTGCATATTTTAAGAAAAATCTAACTTTGATTCATTTACAGTTAGTTAAACTATTTCATCTAATTGCCTCATTTTTTTTTTTGTAAATCAAAACCTTCTTTCACTGACACAGGAAGTCATATTTTGTCAAAACTAGATGAACATGAACCCAGAGAGACTTGAATTCTATTGTAACCTCAAAAACCACAAAAATGGAAGGAATTTGGGAAGTCAAATGTGTCCCTGTGCCTTGTCTATAGGGTCTAACATTTTGTTCATCTTGTGAAGATTTGTGTGTTTCCAGTTTCACCCCTGCCATAGTTCTTGGTACAGGCATGTGATATGATGGGGAGATTCCCACTTTAGAAGGCAGTTTTCACAGTAACCCCCTTTAGCCTTTGAGTTTCTAATGTAACCTTTGAAAACAGCTGGTCCAAATTCCATCTTGTCCCAGACCCACACAGACCTCCTCTGCATTATGTTCAATTCGAAGACAAAGGAAGTTCAGGGAGGAACACTGAGCAAGATGTGATTTGGCCAAATAATTATAGCTACTTTGCAAGCAGCCACCCGGAATGCAGATTTTATTAGCTTTTATTTTACTTATTTTTTAGAAAAGCCTTTTAAATGACTTATACATCTATATACATTTATACTTTTTTTTTTCAAAGCTGAGATGGAAGGCTTAACCCTCCTGCATACTGTCTGACCCATGAAAATAAACCCTTGACATTTATGAATGATACCTCCTCATGACCAATTAATCCCCATACACAAAGACTACTACAGTCCTTAATTCTCCTCAATGAAGTATAACATTTAATTAAATAATTTGCCTGACAGCTTCTAACTTTGAAGGAGAATTGTATATAAGCAATATAACGTAAGAGAAAAGAAATCTAGCTCTAAATCTGGAGTCAGACAACCTTAGGTTTAGATCTCAGCTCTTTCAGCTATAAATTATTGACCTCAGTTTTCTCATCTGAAAAGCAGAGCTAAGTAATAGAAATGTACACTTCAGAGTTACTTTGAGGCTCAAATATTTTAAAGGCAGGTAAAATACTTAGTAGAGTCCCTGGCATAGTCCCACATTTGAAAGCTATGAGAAAGATATTTCCATGCACTCCTAGTAGGAATACAAATTGGTATAACCACTTTGGGAAATGGTACAAAAATATTGATGGAATTTTAAAGCTTGTGTATTTCAAGACCTAGCAAGTCCACTTCTGTTTTTACTATTTACACCAGAGAAACATTTGCACCCAAGAAGACGTATACAAAATACTCAGAACAATGTGTTTTGTAATAGTGAGAGACTGGAAACACCCAAAGAGTTCTTTCGCTTTTAAGTAGGAGAGGCTAATTCCTGTAAGAAATGCCCTTACGTATTTCAACAGGTTAACAATTTGAAGTGGAGATTCACGGGTAGCCTTCAATGTGGTGATTCAGTGACCCAGCTTTCTGTGGCTCTGCTCTTCCTAGGAACTTGGAAACTTCTGCTAGATCCTTTCATCTAGTTAGCACATGGAGGATGAGAAAGGATGTGGAAAATTTCATGAAGTTTCAACAGATTGGGCCTGGGAGTGCCATATATCACTTCTGTCCACAGCCCATTGGCTAGAACACACTAATTTAGTCATAGTTAATCATGATGTAGTCTAAACGCAAGTTCAGGGACATAGGGAACCAGGGCTTTGATGAACAACATCTCAGTTCTGACACAAATACAAGATTAAAATAATGAGATAGGTCTATGTTTACTAGCAAATGGGCCTTCCAGGACATATTCTGTGAAAAACTAAGCAGGTGACATGTCATAGGATGGTTTCCTGGGAAGCAGACTATGAGATGGAAGTTACGGTTCTGGAGGTACGTTAGGAAAATTCTTGGCATCAGCATCTAAGGAAGCAGGATTGGGCAAAGGGAGAAGCTGAGTTATGATGTGGGCTCCACAGCAACCTCAGCCACCCCACAGGCAGCTCTGAGGCTAGGAAGATCTTTCTGAGTTAACCCAGTTTTGGCCAACATGGCAAGACATTTATAGTCTTACAATGAGCTTGCATGAGAACTAGTACATTGGTACCAAATGGAACTGGATCAGCCACTGACCATTGCCTGTCTCTGCAGGGGTGAGCCTGAGGGTGAGGGGGCTATTGTGGCAGAGGTGGTCCAAGAAGGGGCTGAGAGACGCAGACAGTCTGCTGGAAGTGCTCCCTGATGAGGCAATGAGTCCTTCACTGAAGGGAGATTTGGGCAACGCGTAACAGTGTCACCCCACACAGCTAAACTATGTAGGTAGGCTATTATTACTGTAAAAACAAAAGAATGTGCTTATTTTCTCTGACTAAATTTCTATGTAAATTCATAGAAAAAACCTGGATAAAAAGCTGGACATTTTGTATAATAATAAGTAGATATCAGAGTGATGCAGCTCCTTTTGAGTAAGGAGGCAGATCTGAGAGATTGAAGGTAAATTCAAAAGAAACTTCAACCATATCTGCAACTTTTAATATTTTTGAACAAAGTGAATTGCTATTTTGCTTACCTATATGAATTTAATAAAACTATTGAGGTGGGTTTATTGTACAAGTATGTATGATAAGAACATTAACCCAGACAATATTCTACGTGTGGCAGGACCTTCCATTGCAGAAGCATCACATAAAAATAGCTTTTATTAATTTGAAGATTGATCGACTTTCCTTCTTTCTTTTTCCTCCCACAGATTTTTGGCCAATTCACTGCTCACTAACATCTCCATCAAAGGGTAACTGGGTTGGGGCACCGGGTGTGGGAAGGAGAGGAAGGAAACGAGAATCGGCAGTTTCCATTACCTGCTAGCAACTCTGGTAAATAGGTTTAGTAGGGGGAACTGTTGAAAATCAGTTATTCAGATTATCTGAGCCTGTCAACCATGCATGTTACACCCTCCTCCCATTAGCATAGACTCAGGAGAATTGGCCCTAATTGCATTTGCAGTGATAGTGACTGAAACAAGATTGTTTAATGATTATGTGGCTCCTTAAACTGATTTTTTTCTTTCATTTGGCACATCCCAACAGAATACTTTGAGGAAAAAGGCATTTTCTACTTTATTCTCAGCTATTAAATATCTACACATCTTTCAGGATAATGGATAGTCTAGATAGACCAAAGACAACTTCTTTGAGTTTGAAAAAATATATTTTATCTTTTATTTTGGTCTGTCAATAGAAGAGTTTATTTGGGATATCCAGGTAGCAATAAAAAACATAATATAATCAATAAGAGACATTCAAATATTTGAATGTCACTCAATATTTGAGTAAATATTTGTTGAATTTAGAGGATTTAAGAGCAGAGTTATAATACTGGCATCATAAAAAAATCTTCTAGGTTTTAACTGTAAAAACACCGAGTTTTAACCAAATAATTCCAGCCAATTCAATATGAATCATTTTTTTTTCCTGGAATTAAAATGCTGTGTTGAAAAGAAGCTTGGAATAAAATTTGAAAGACTAGGATTCTAATTCAGATCACCACTTTACTTAGTGATTTTGAGACAAATTTCAGATTCTGACTCAGTTTGTTCGGCTACAGATTATTGTATGAAGAAAAACCCTACGTTTAATGTTTTACACATATTTTTATATTTATAATTTTTACCCCAACACTGATATTAATGGGCTGTATCGTAGAAGGCTTTCACTGGTAGCAAATGGAACTGGATCTTGACCCAATCATATACTGGTTATTTGATGTTAGTGAAACTAAGGGGCCTCTCCAAGATTCTACTTCCTTATTTGTAGCATGAGGTCACATATAATTAATTTATATATCACTGGATTGTCGTGAAGGTGAAAATGATAAAGTGCATAACATCATGCCTGAGACATAGCAATCCCATAATAAAAGGGAGTTATCCTCAAATTTTAGCTATCCCACTAACAAGATAACACTGTGTTTTTCTCCTTTTCTAAGGAAAAACACACATTGTAAAATAAGAATTCTTCAAAGACAACTTGAAGACATCTGGGAATTCTGAAGCCTGAAAATTCCATGAGTTCATAGCAGTGTTCACTAATTCCACTGATCTAAAGACAAAAAGGAGAGTCAACTGCGTGCCCAAACTCATTTCTGATGATTTCTTCCATCCTAACTTTTCTGCCTCTCTGGGGGTGGTTATGCCTGTGAAAAACATTGAAGCTGTCAGGAACAGAGTCGGCTTTCAAGATTGGAATGTCAAAGTAGAGTCTTCTTTTCCTCAGACCAGAAGGGGCTTGGTTGGGTAAGAGTTTCCAGATCTAAATGGAGACAGGACTGGGATATAGGAGCTTGTACGGATAAACAACACAAACACCTTGGGTAAGTGATACACCAAGAGAGATCAAAATAGGGTAGGAACACGATCCTAAAGCTATGTGAGATACGAAGCCAAGAGACCCTGTCTACAGGCTGATATGTATTGCAACCAGAGGCCACCTACACTCAAGAAAATTCTAAATGATGTAATAGGTTGTGGACACTTTCTTGTAAAAATGATCGATATTTTTTTCTTATAGGGATAAAGCTTAAAAGCATGGGATGTATCTCCATTAGGAAATATGAAGTGAGTTGGTATATTACAGGTAGGTTAGACTGAGATAATTATAAAACTGGGCTGATTTTACATAGAGAAGAACTTGATTCCTAAAGGTGTTGAAGGACAAGATGGGGACAGTTATTGAAGTGTTCAGGTGCTGTCCTTTGTAGTCTGTAGCCTATTAAAATAATACACAACTGAACACAGACCCAAGGAAAGGGGTTCTACTCATCGCTAGAATGTAAACTCTAAGAAGATAAGGATTTTGTCTGCTTCATTTATTACTGTATTCCCAGCTCCTAAAAGAGTGTCCAGCACTTAGTATCTGTTGGTAAGTACCTGTTGAATTAATTAACCAGTGATGAGACTTTGGAAAGCAGCTAGTCCATCTGTAAGATTGTTTTCTCATCTGTGAGATGAGTCAGTTAGATTAGATGTTTTCTAAGCTTATTCTAGTTTTAAAATTGTATATTTCTATAAGAAATGATAAATGAAAAATGTCCATTCCTTTTTCATCTCCATCACCCATCTCACATCTTCCTTCAGTGCCTATGTGATCTGTTTGAGTATAACCAGGTGTACAAAAGTACTAAGTGATATGAGATGACTTCAGTAGTCCAGGGACTCTTTCTTCCCCCACTCTGTAAAGAGTTATTTGCTTAATTTAATGTACATTATAAAAACAGAATTTGTTTCTCAATTTCATTTATACTCATACTATAGTTTACTTTTCACATAAATTTAAGGTACAAGGAAGTCAACTTAAAGAAAATATTTTAAGTAAATTATAATGCAAGTTCTACACAGATGTAGCGCAAACCACAATGGTAGGACACAAGCAATTGCTATTTGAGAAATAGGCCTCTTTGTCAGTACTTATGGCACGTATCTTAAAACCCGACTTTCACTAGTGCTCTCAAAGGAACTTAGTCACAATTCAAGTGACCATACCATTTAGCTGAGGGCCCTTTATTCCTGTTTATGGTAAAATAATTGCCTTAGTTGTACTTTTAAAAAATATACTTTTTCTTCTTCTGACCGTAATGGGCTAACTGCCATTAAAGAGACCATCTATCATAAACGATTAGAGAACTGGATAGAATATATGAAGCCACTGTTTTTGGACAATAGGCAGCACAAAACGATGATCCCTGAGAAAAAGGAAGGAAATGAGGTGATGCCTATAATTGCCCTGATTTTTTGCCTGGAGATACTGTCTGAACTGCTACTCTGGAAAGGAAAACTCAGGTGAAACATGGGGCCTCACTAAGTAGAGGAGACAGGGTCAATATTGGGAAAGCTGAAATGACTGGAATTTGCAGGGCAGAATATGGGGAAGGAAGGAGCTATGTAGGGAAAGAGCTCAAGAAATACGCACAAAGGGGTCGGGTGCGGTGGCTCACGCCTGTAATCCCAGCACTTTGGGAGGCCGAGGTGGGCAGGTTACTTGAGGCTAGGAGTTCAAGACCAGCCTGACCAACCTGGTGAAACTCTGTCTCTACTAAAAATACAAAAATTAACCGGGCATGGCCGGATGCGGTGGCTCCTGCCTGTAATCCCAGCACTTTGGGAGGCCGAAGCGGGTGGATCACAAGATCAGGAATTCGAGACCAGCCTGACCAACATGGTGAAACCCTTTCTCTACTAAAAATACAAATATTAGCTGGGTGTGGTGGTGCATGCCTGTAATTCTAGCTACTCAGGAGGCTGAGGCAGGAGAATCGCTTGAACCCAGAAGGCGGAGGTTGCAGTGAGCCAAGACCGTGCCACTACACTCCAGCCTGAGAGACAGAGCAAAACTCCATCTCAAAAAAAAAAAAAAAAAAAAAAAATTAGTCAGGCATGGTGGCAGGCACCTGTAATCCCAGCTACTCATAGGCTGAGGCACAAGAATCACTTGAACCCAGGTGGCAGAAGTCACAGTGAGTGAAGATCGCACCACTGCATTTCCAGCCTGAGTGACAAAGTGAGAGACTGTCTCAAAAATAAAAATAAAAATAAAAGAATATGCAAAGGATGTTCTTGAGTTTTTGGCTGATTATGAAACTATATAGGGTAAGACTCCACAAGTGAAAGAACAGTACTTGGAAAGACAATTACTGAAGAACTATAAACTGAACAACTACCAGATCTCCTCCTGAACTGAAATATATTCAAGTTCCAGCCAAAGTCGAGACACACAATTGAATTTATGCATCATTTAGTAGAGACCCCAAAATATTCATGCCTCAGTAGTAATGCAAAATTGTCCCTACAATAAAAACTACAGTAGCTCCCCCTTATCCATAGTCTTACTTCCTGGAGCTTCAGTTACCCACAGTCAACTTCAGTCCAAAAATATTCAATGGAAAATCTCAGAAATAAGCAATTCATAAATTTTAAATTGTACACTGTTCTGAGTAGCATAACGAAATTTCAAGCCAGCCCACTCTGTCCCACCCAGAACATGAATCATCCCTTTGTCCAGTATATGCTACCCTCCCATTGGTCACTTAGGTTATCAGAATGACTGTGGCAGTATCGCAGTGCTTATACACAAGTAACCGTTGTTTCGTTTAATAACAGCCCCCACATGCAAGAATAGCAATGCTGGCAATTTGGATAAGCCAAAGAGAAGCCACAAAGTACTTCAAGTAAAAATGTGAAAGTTCTTGACTTAACAAGGAAAAAAAAGTCATGCTGAGGCAGCTGAGATCTACAGTAAGAACACATCTTCTATCCTTGGAATTGTGAAGAAGGAAAAAGATATTTGCTAGTTTTGCTGTTGCACCTCAAACTGCAAAAGTTACCACCACGGTTCATGCAAAGTGCTTAGTTAAGATGGAAAAGGAGTTACATTTGTGGGTGCAAGACATGAACAGAGAGGCATTCCAATCAATAGCAATCAGGTTCAGGGGGTACCTTCCTCAGTTTCAGGCATCCACAGGGGGTCTTGGAAAGTATTCCCCATGGAGGGGGGCGGGGAGGGCTACTGTACTCCATACTTGTTCTAATAAAACTTTTTAGAAATCTCAAAAAGATTAAGCTAATCTACATGAAATTTAAATGCTTGCTAGAACAAAGCACAATGCTCTTTAAGGGAGCAAAACTAAATCCAGACAATCAATACTGTAACACAATGTTTAGCAACATGCAATAAAAAAATTACTAGACACACAAGAAATTAAGAAAAAACGTCCTTTCCATGACCAGGAGAAAAATGCATCAACAGAAAGAGACCCAGAAGTGAGAGAGATGATAAAAATTAGTGGACAAGGACTTTCAAACAGCTATCAGTAGTTTAAGTATGTGTATAAAAACATAAATGCAATGAGAGAAATGGGAACTGTAAAAAAGAACTTAGTGAAACTTCTGAAGCAGAAAAATATAATATCCGAAGTGAAAAAATTCACTAGATAGTTGCAATAACAGTTTGATATTGCAGAAGAAAAAGGTCAGTGAGCTTGAATAGAACAGAGAGGAAAGTATAGTCTTTTCAACCATTAGTGCTGTAACAATCAGACTGTATTGAAAAAGACTAACTTTGGTTCCTACCCCTTACCACACGCAAAAAGTAAACTAGACACAGATCACGGAACTAAATGTAAAACCTAAAACAATAAAATTTTATGGCCTGGCCATAATGGATTTCTTAGACCATAAAAAGTACTAACCAAAAAAGACCAAATTGTTAGATTTCCTCAAAAGCAAAAACTTTTGCTACTGACAAAGCACCAATAAAAAATAAGTCAAGTCAAAGATTGAAAGAAAATATTCACAGTGAACATCATAGAGTTGTATCTGGACTATAAGAAGAACTTTTATGACTCAATAATATAAAGACAACTACATTTTTAAGAGGAGCAAAAGATTTGAACATACACTTCACAGAAGAATATAAGGGTCAGTAAACACTAAAAGATACTCAACATCATAGTCACCATAGAAACGCAATTTTAAACCACAATGAGATACCACTACACACCTACTAAAATAGCTAAAATGTAAAAAGGCAGATATTACCAAGATTTGGAGAGGTTTTAGGAGTACTGGAAATGTCATACATGGGTAGTGAGAGTGTAAAATAGTATAAACATCTTAGAACACAATTTGGTAGTTTCTTATAAAGTTAAAGACATGCTTATCATATAACTCACCAACCCCTTTTCTAGGTATCAGCCCAAGAAAAATAAAAAACATATGTCTGCTACACAGACTGCTTGTCTACCTATGTATCAACACTTGTTGAACATAATGTGAATGAATCTCAAAAATATTTTGCTGAGTAAAAGTGCCCAATCCCCAAAAACTACACATCATATGACTCAATTTGTTTGAAGATCTAAAACAGGTAAATCTAGTCTTTATTGATAGAAAATATAATGGCAGCTGGGGTTAGGGTGGGAGGTTGCCTGGGCAGAAACAGAAGGTAATATTTTAGTGAATTGGGAATTTTATGTGTCTTGATTTTGGTGATCATTATACATATGTATGCATATATCAAAACTTAAACTGGACACTTAAAATAGATACATTGATTTTGTCTCATGTAAATTATACTTCAATAAAGTTAATAAGGTGTGCATATTTATACCCTTCTAGGGAAAAGATACTACAGACTTCCACCCGCACATCTTTCATGTCACGCATGTTTTCAATTTTTCTTTTCAGATTTGTGTTATGCTGTCTCTCCTTTCCTACTCCTAGTTTCAGCCCCACTACCACCACCATGCTTCATGACCATCTCAGACAAACAAAATTAGTGACAGTTGTCATGACAGTGAATAACCTCAGAGGTACAAAAAGAAAACTGCACAGACTGTTCCCAACTAGGTGGCAAACCTGTGAAAAGTTTGTAGCATACGAATTGAGATCTACGAATCTATCTATAATCTTCTCACATTAATGCCATGATGCTTCATTTAATTTTTGCTTACACAGATCTCTAACAACTCTATTTTTTTCTTCTGAATAAAAACTAAGAATGTTATCCCAAGTCTGTGCATCCGAATGTCATGGGTGCATGGGTGAAGGAAGGCAGAAAGAAACTTGGAATAAGATTGAACAGCTGTAGTCATGCTTTCATTATTTGAAAGCTTTTTGGACCAAAGATAATACACTGTGGGATTTGTTGCCAAAAACGTCAGATTTTTGGTTCCAGCTCATGGTCCAGAAGCTGAAAGTGTGTCAACTTGGTAATAGTATCCAACAATAATTCAGTTCTATAGTCTTTGTAGAATGATGGACAAAATGAATGTCAACAACATTAAGCAGCCAGAAACCAAAGGTACCTTGTGACCTAGCAGCAAGGAATAAGAGAATCTTAACAGATGTAATTTATAGCATTACTGTTGATGAAGTTAGTAACCTTTAGCAAGGAGACATAGAATCAATAGCAGCCTGGCAGTTTGCAGCTGCAGAAATTTATGTGGGAATTGACCAGGAAGTAAGGTGCAAGAGGAGTTGGCAGAATATTTAAACCAGATGAAAAAATTTTAGGTTAATTATAAAGTGTCCAAAATGTGGAATTAGAATGATTTCTTCAATTTCCTACAAAATGGACCAATGTTTATGAAAGCATCCCAAATGTAAAGAATTATACATTGATAAATGTACAGAAAGAACATTTCGGTGTTTAAACTGTGGCATTGAAAGTGCCAAATGAGAAAATACATTTCAGAAATTCAGTGCATGCACTTACATTTATCAGTGCACCCTCTCTTTCTCTGCTTAGATTTTATGGTGTTATTATTGAGATTCATATAATACAGCCTATTCAATTGGACAATTGGAATATTGTTATACACAGTTAATCAACAGACTCTGTATAAGTGATAAGGCCTCAGAGAAGAAGAATATTAGAGCTCAACTCCAGCACGATGAGTCGTTAACACCCTTGGGAATGTATAGCTGTTAAACAAAACAAGGAGACCATATTGCCCTGTGAATTCAAAGGGATCTAATGGGAATTTCAGAGTAAATTTATTTTAAGGTATGTAGGAAGCCTAATCATTTAAAGTGCTTTTTCTATTCCGAAGCAACTCATCCCACCACATCTTTTCATTTAGTACTGATCAGTTTCCTTAAAAGATTAGAAGGTGAAATGATGCACTCCAAAAAGAGTGATCCTTCTTAATATTTTGCATTTAAAACTCCTTTCACAGCCTCCTACGAATCTGTATTAGCTCTCCTGTCACAACTTAATGTATATCTTTTGGCCTCAGAAAATTTGGGGGTGTTTAGGATGTTTGTTTTACACTAGTAAAACCTATCTAAAAACAAGCAAAGTGCTCACCAAAAATAGAAGGTACCATCAAAGTGACAAAACAATCAGGTAATTGTGGGCAACTTAGATGCTCAAGTCAGCAGGAGACAGGTTTATATCCTCAAACCTCGTATACTGCTGTTCAAAATATTCATTTAAAAAGTGATGGTAAATAAATCCAACTTTTTATAACTTTTTGCTGTTTACTCCCTCACGAGTGTGTCAACTTGAAGTCAGTGATTAATTTTGGAGTCAAGGTCCAAATGCAATTGCACCTGCCTGTAGAAATAACAGTAATATTTCATAGAAGTCTTTCTCACTTTTCACTGTCATATTTAGAAACCCCAAATAGAACATTGCATTAAAACTAAGTGAAACTGCAAATGACTTTTATGAAAGAGGATAACATTTTTAGCAGTGACTTTTTTGACTTGGGAAGACTGGGAGTTTGAATACTGTGCTGTGTACACTAGCTCTTTCCATGACACCAACTCTTGTTAGCTGCCTACATTTGTCCCAGTAATAATAGCAACCACAACTACAACTAACGTTTATTTGTTGTTGTCAATGTTGGCATGGATATGGAGAAAAGGTTACACATATACATTGCTGGTGGGAATGTAAATTAGTTCAACCTCTATGGAAAACAGTATGGAGATTTCTCAAAGAACTAAAAATAGAACTACTATTTGATGCAGCAATCCCACTACTGGGTATCTACCCAAAGGTAAAGAAATTATTATATCAAAAAGACACCTGAACTTGTATGTTCATCACAGCATTACTTATAATAGCAAACAACCTATGTGTTCATCAATGGTTGACTAGATAAAGAAAATAGGGTATGTGTGTATGTATGTGTGCGTGTATATATATATATGTACATACATACACACATACCCTATTTTATATGATATAAATATATATAAAATAGAATACTATGCAACCATAAAAAAGAATGAAATCCTGCTCTTTGTAGCAACATAGATGGTGCTGGAGGCCATTATCCTAACTGAACTAACTCAGAAACAGAAAACCAAATACCGCATGTTCTCACTTATAAATAGGAGCTAAACAATGAGTACCTATGGACATAAAGATGGAAATAATAAACACTGGGGACTCAAAAAGTGAGGAAGGTTAGGGGTGAGGGTTGAAAAAATACCTACCTGGTACAATATTCGCTATTTGGGTAATGGATACACTAGAAGCCCAATCCCCACCAATATGCAATATACTCATGTAACAAACAAGCACATGTACCGCCTGCATCCAAAATGTAAAAAAAAAAAACAAACAAAAGAATAAAATTGACTGTTGTCTCTGTTCAAATCACTATTCTAAGTCCTTTCCGTATAACCCACTGACTTCTCTGAATAATCCTACTCATTAGTTATTTCCATTTCTATTTTGCAGTTGAAGAAACCGAAGCACAAAGAATAACTTGTCCAAGATCACAGAGTTTAGGAAGTAAGGAAGCAGGGCTTTGAGCTTTGCATCAAGTGATGACCCATAAATGCAAATGGAATACAACAGGAGTGGGTCCCTAAAGTCCCACCCAGAGAATGCCCTTCTGCCAAAAAATTTCGGATTGAAACAGCAAAAACACCTAAGCAACTGATAGTCAGGTATGGTATTTTTCGATGTCCAACTATAGAACTGAAAAGATCTTTTCTATGGTTAGTCTACACGAATTTCTGTTAAAGAAGGAACAAATGCCAAACGTAGGGCAGGGTACTGTTTGACAGTAAAGAAGGAAATTTTAGAATTGCTTTCTGGTGGTATCACTTATTGCTTATTGTTCTCCACCAAAAAGCAACTTTTAAAAATCAGCAATGATTGAAGACTGTGGCTTGCTAAAGAGGACAGATTTTTCTGGTCTATTATTCTGGAGTGGGGGCAGAGTGGATGTTTGCTTAGCAGGCAGAGAGCTCAGTACTTTACATGTGGCATGGCATGGTAGATAAGGTTAGGAATTATGTCCTTTTTTTGTTTGTTTTTTAAGATTTGGAACCTAGGCTCAAAATGTGCTAAAGGTCACATAGCTGCTAGGTGCTAAAGTGATGATTCAAATCCCTGGTTTATCTGACTACAACAGCTCTTGCTCCTTCCATGATCCTACCATTGCAATCCCACCATAGAAATCCTAAATACAAATAAGGACAGATATCATTGTCCAAAATGAGTTTCCATTGTCGGTTTATCTGTTGAGATCGACATTTTGGCTTTGAAAAAGAAAATTACTGGTTAGTGTTTCACCCTATTTCAACCTCTCTTTCAGCTTCCACATGAGATGATTCCCTTAAAATTTTAATGCTTTCAAACGAACGAAATCTAGAGATATTAGCTACATTTTCCAAACAAACAAGGGGTAGGAAGGGTGGGAAAATAACCTAACCTTGTTCTTGAGATCAGAAATGCTTAAAAGCATGTGTTAAAAGCCCGAGGGAGAAATATTCAGTATTTTTCACGAGTTCAGCTCAGGCTCCATCGCCTAATCATTTTCTTATCGCCAAATATTACATATTTACACAGGTGGTTCTCTGATTTAATTGTTTGAAAGCAGTCACTGGAAGCAAAGCTATGTGACTCAGCTTTGGTGATGTACTCCAGCTGGAGTCTGACAGGTAAATAATTACCACTAATCAAAGCCTAGATGAATTCAGGTTCTTCAAAGTCAGATGGGTGAGAAGGGGACAGGGATTATTAATGAACTGTTAGGAATATCGGGAGAAATAAGAGCAGGACAGTCTAGTCTCAGATGAAAACAACAAAGAGAACAATTAACATCAGTAAGACCTCGGGTGCCATGTGTATTACAGCACAAAGATCTTTGGCTGGGCTCCGTTATTCCCCATTCAGGCATAATTAGTTTGGGTCTCTTAGGAGCCTCTCTGGGTCTACGAAACTCAGTTGGATGATGAGCTAGGTCCTTCTCGGTTCTCACAGGGTATAATTGCATGATTTCCTTAAGCAGAATTCAGATTTCTTGACATCAAGAGGGAAAATCTCTTTCTCTTGCTTCTGCATGAGTAAATATTGTTTAAAATAAAAATTAAGAATGAACACATTTGCTCCTTAAAAGCAAATCATATGAGATGAGTGCATATTAAGTGAACAAACTTAGATGGGAGGGGGGACTAACCATCCCTAGGGGGCCCACAGATTTCAATAGAAATTTCCATGGAGTTATTATGAAGGATAACTTCCCTGAGGCTTTAGCCCCTGCATGATGGATTCAAGAGCTTTACTTAAAAGTCAGCCTGTACTGGCTTGTAGAAAGCTTTCAGCCTCTTTTTGCAAGTCATTTTTCAGCTTCCTGGTAATGAACAAAACAGGTCTGATAATTTTCAATAATAATCTCAGGAAATGTGTGGTGTAGGACTGCAGCTTTCAAGCAGTTGACACAGAAATCTAGTTCAGTCAGTGTGGAGAGTGGTGCCTGAAGACGCCTTCTGTGTTTTGGGATCAGCCAGGAGCGCTGTATCAGCCACAACAAGGATATATTTTGACTGGTTTTCATCAGTTTGACTTGAGTGGGTTTTTTTTTCTTTTTCTTTTTTTTTCTGCCTCTTGTAAAAGCATTTGGCTCTGAAGCAGAAAAAGAGTTTTTTAGTTGTAATTCAAAGTACTCTTATTGTCTCATAAAATGTGAGCTGGAAGATTTACCTTATGGTTTGGCTGCTGGCTGGAAGTAAGAAGTAAGCAAGAGTCCAGTGCATCAGGGGAAAATATTAAATGACCCCTTAAGATTCTCTTTAGCCTGAAATTATGGTCCGTACCCTTTTCACCCTGAGCAGAATTCCCAACAGGCCCTTGAATGAGGAGATCTGGGAGAAACATGCCTTCTTTGGTCAGAATGAGCACCCCAAATATAATAATCCAAAAGAAAAATAGCAACATCTTAAGGAAATGGTTTTGAATGAGATCTTCCAAGACACAATAGTATGTGCTGACTCAGGGAAACAAGGCGACATGCTGAAAACATTTGCAGGCCTGGAAAATAACTGGTTTAATAATTCAAGATGCTTTTAAGTTACACAAAACTACAAAAAAACAAATAAACCTCCATTCCCAAAGTGATGTTATATGTGAGCCACTCGTGAAATGAAAGAAACAGAGCTTAAAGTCTGATGCAAATTCAGCTTTGTGAAACTCTTAAACAACTGACAAAGAAATTTACCACCCCACACCACATCCCAAATGGACTAATGGAAATATTCTTTTCATGACTTCAAAATATTTAGATGAAAAGTGAAATATTTAGTCAATACCCTAGATGTATTTTCATCTGGGTATCATGCATCTGAGTGTTTCCAAGGGGATTTTCCAAGTGTTCCTAGGATATACATCAGGGTGTCTCAACCCTGGCACTAGTAGCACTAGTAATGCTTTGGACTGGATAATTCTTTGTTGAGGGAGTTGTCTCCTGCAAGGTGGGATATTTAGCAGCATTTTTAGTTTCTACTCATGAGACACCAGTAGCACTCCCCAAGTTGTGACAACCAAAAATGTCTCCAGATATTGCTAAATGCAAAATTGCCAGGAGCTAAGAATATACTTCATTTTTACTCATTAAATCCCAAATGCATCCTATGAAATACTGTTTCTGTTATGATCCTATTTGTTCCAACTTTATAAATAACTAAATGTGGCTTAGAATGCATTAAGTGACCTGTTTGATTTCACAGTCTACTAAAGACAGGACTTCAACAGAGCCTACACTCTTTGTCCTAACACTGTAGGCACACACAATTTGACTTAAACAATACTGTAGATGCTCTATGGTCTAAGAGTTCCAAACATACAGAAATAAACACTTTCTTCAAAGAATCACAGAATGACTCTATTCAAATGTCTTCTCAGTTCAAAGATGTACATTGGAAGTCAGGAAGGACCACACAGTTGTCCATGCCTGGATGTGGGTAGCTGAGCCATATGTAATTGCTTCAATTTGCTGCTTATTACTTGTACATTCTTTCAGTTACCTGAGTGGATAGCTAAGTCTAAAGAGCCCATCAGATCCATCATAAAGCAGATGGTGTAAACACTAGTTGACAGTAAACATATTGTGACAATGGAAAGGGAAGAGAATTTGTGAGATAAACATGCCTAAGGTTTTCTGTTTACTAGCCCTGGAAATTTTTGAAAATTAACTTATTTTAGCTTCTCATTCCTTTATCTGAAAAAGAATAATTGTAGCTATCTTACAAGGTTGTTGTAAGAAGCTAGTACATGCAAAGCCCATGATATAGAACTTGGTATGTAATAGGCACTTGATATATGGCAGCCATTATTGTGATTCATTTAATGGCTATGAGACACAACAGGAGATCCCTCTATTTTCATGAGATGATTGGTGGAGGAGAGGAACCTGATAATGTTTACTGAGCTTTTACTACATGCCAAGCAAGCACTGTACCAAGTGCTTTACATGAATTATTGGATTTCATTCATGAAGTTGATTCCTTGCTGATTATATTAAGCACTCTTTCTTTTGGTTTGTTTACTTATCTACTATCTGTCTTACTTACTTACAGGAGGGCAAGGAGCATGTCTGTTTTATTCTCTGCTATATACCAGTGCCTTATACCTCAATCAATGTTTGCTGAATTAATAAATTAATGAATCTGTGAAAGAAAGGATGAGCCCTCTAGAAATGATCTTTGACTCTCTTCTATCAAGTGCTCTTGATTCTTTCACAAGCAGCATTTCTGGGATGCATTCATTTCTTTATCATTCCTACAGCCATAGGCCTGCTCCTGACTGTCACGGCCTTAAGTCTGGACTGTGGCAGCCACATCGTAATTCTTATGTGGTTCTAGCTTCTTCTCACTCCCAGCCAAGCTCCTCACTGCTGCCAGGGTAATATTCCTCCCACACCCTCATCAAGAAGCCTCGCATGGATCATTGTCATGGACTAGGTCCAGACAAGCATCTTCCACTCAGAACCAAAACCTTTCATGATGGACCCCAGCTTTCCCTAACCCACCTCACCTTCTACCATTTACCAATCCCGCCATTTATTTGGTGTATAGTTTATTAGCTGCCTCTCAGTACAAGGTACTGTGTCCTAGGTACACTTCAATCAAACATGCTTCCTGTCCTATAGAGCATAAAATATATTTGGGGAGAAAAGCATAAAAACAATTGCAACACGGTATCAATCCATTTGAAAGGAGCTGTACAGGGTGCAAGGTAGGTTCCTGGGAATGTCTGTAACCCACACTTGGGAGATCAGAGAAAGCTTCCCAGAGGAGAAAAGATATCACCTGACATCCAAAAGAGCTTTGCTAGAAAAATAGCACAGAGAGAATACATGTGTTAACCCTTGAGAGGAATGAGTATGGCTCTCTCAAACTGAAAAAAGTTATTATCTGGAGAGTAGAGTGTGAAGTAGGTGGAGGAGAGGAGAGGAATGACAGATGCTTTGAAGGAGTGAGTGCCAGTCACAGAGAGGGGCTGTTACCTACTTGAACTCTACTCTGAAGACAATGAGAGATCACAAAGCAATTTTGAATAGGTTGAGATGTTATTGCTTGAGATTAAAAGGGGATGGTACTGCAATGGACACTTAAATAAGTTACCATTTCTTCCTTATAAAATATAGGCTTATAAAACAAATTCACACTCTGGTTCCAGAGCTGTAAAGGAAATGTCAACTACAGTGTAGAAAGGTGATTTTGGCCTTGGAGCCTGGGAGAGATCTGAAGAGCCCACACTCAGGTCTTGCCTGAGCTCTGTCAACAACTTTGGTTCTGCTCTGTGCCTCGGCTTCCTCATCTGTCAAATAACAGGGATTAACTGACTATATGACCTCCCAGGCCTCTCCCAGCTCCTCCCTTCTCTGAATCCTGGCCAGTGGTCATAAGGCTGAAGATTTGCTAAGAGTCACCCTTGAGGAGCTTGTTAAACTCACTCTCCAAAACGCAGGTATTGTAAATGCTGACATTAAAAAAAAAAAAAAAAAAAAAAAAAGGTACTCCAGGTGAATCTCAGGCAGGGAGGGATTCCTCAGACAAAGCTTTGAGAAACTATGAGAAAAATGAGTCTCTTCATTGAAACAGGAATGAAGCCTGGGAAGGGCCCACTCCTTCAGGCATTGGCCTGTGAATCATCAAAAGGAGACTCAATCCCGCAATTAAACCCTTAGAACGTAGAAGCCAAATAAGAATAGATCATCTCAAGGAATTGAAATGGACAGAATAAAAATCTCCCCTTAGTGCTGTAGTGCTGTGCCCTGCCCCGTGCCAAGCACTTGATCCTCATTACTGCCTGTTAGTCACAGCCTGCTGCATGGGCAGATGGGCTGCATGGTCAGGTTCTGAAGCTAGGGGGCACAACCAGGGAGCAAGGACGCCTTTGGCCTTTGTGGTGAGGCGCATGCATCACAAATGATGACAGGCTTTGGTTAGCTTTTCTAACATCCCATCATTTGTTCATTGATGTTTCCGCCACATATAGAACAGGTTTGCCCTTTGCTTTCATGTTGCTTCCCTAACATCTTTTCATTTTAACCGAAACAACTAACATGTCAAGATATTACCATAATATATGATTGAAAATATGCCACTTTTTGAGAACGTGCTCAAGGGAATCTCCCACATTCCCTTTGCCTTCCAGCTATGCCATGAAGTAGGTAATATCAAAATCGAATGCTTCTAAGAATTCATCTATGGAAATCTTTGCAGGAAATAATCCATCAACCTTTGAGATAGGCAGGCCTTTAAAACCAGGGTGATTCCCTGCATACAAAACCATAACTAATGGCAAATTAGAATAAGCCTAACATCCGGTACTCTCGATCAACAAGAAAAAAAAAATGGAACCTAAGGAGAATAAGATTTCAAAGGCGAAGTGCAGATTCAGAATTAACCAAGGAAATAGGTGTTCTGACATTAAGAAATATTTCTTGTTGTCACCGTCAGAATATTTTTGACATTGAGGAGATGACACAAGAGCCTAAACAGGATGAGAATACTGAGCTTTTAAGCAGCATTTGCCTTGATTTTTACTTTAAATTCACTGGACCCTTCTGCTGCAAAGATCAATTTTCCAGAGGGAACTTATTCACCAAGATCCAGTACTAATTACTTTGTCAGTGTAACTCCCATGGAGAAGAAAGCTCATATCTTAGAGGACAGGGCAGCATAAGTGGGGCAAAATGGACTTCGGAGGCAGGCAGACCTGGATTTGAATGCTCGCTCCACCACTCTCTAGCTGTGTGTCTTTGTCAAGTTGCAAAACTTCCCAAAGCCTATGCTTCCTCAGCTGTAATGGGAATAACAACCAGGAATTTAAAAATGTATTATAAGAATGAGAGGCCGGGCACAGTGCTTCATGCCTGTAATCCCAGCGCTTTGGGAAGCCGAGGCGGATGGATCACTTGAGGCCAGGAGTTAAGACCAGCCTGGCCAACATGGTGAAACCCCGTCTTTATTAAAAATACAAAAATTAGCCAGGTGTGGTGGCATGCACCTGTAATCCCAGCTACTTGGGAGGTTGAGACATGAGAATCACTTGAACCTGGGAGGTAGATGTTGCAGTGAGACGAGATCACGCCACTGCATGCCTCTACAACCTCCAACTCAGAGGCCTGTTAGAAAATGAGCTTCTGAACCTGGAAAACTGTGCACTGTTCTACAGACTCAGCCAAAACAGGCCACGTGTCTCAACAATCTCCACAGTAGTACAAAGGTTTCCTTACAGTTTAGTAGCAGGCATTGTTTAATGCAGGGATTTTCAACATTCTATTGCCAAAAATTCCATTAAATCATGTTTTTGAAGCTCTTGCATACAAAATAGGTGATATTTATTCAACAAATTATTGTTTCACTTCTTATTAATCTAAGGTATAAAAAATTTTCCCATAGAGGTTTTGAATGAACACCATTCATTCATCAGTAAATGTCTATGCAGTACTATGTGTGATATGCTGGGGACACAATGCTGACAGAGACCTGATTCCTGCTCGCAGTTTGTTGGGAAGATGGACAAGTGAAAGCCATGACAGTGAGAAAGAGCCGTGACAAGGCAAGTGCAGAGTGTTAAGGGAGTCTATGGAAGAGGCATTGCCTGTGACTTGGAGAGTTAGGAATGACTTTCTGGAGGAAGTACCTCAGTCCCAGGACTTGAAGGATAAGTGAGAGAGAGCCAAGAAAGACAACACAGGGAGAAAGCTTTGGGCAAAGGGAACGATGTGTGCAAGTCTTTGGGATGAGTGAACAAGCTGAATTCCATAAAGGAAACATTTTTGGTATGGCTGAAGTGTGACCTTCCCAACACATTTAGTCCTGCGCTGCCTCACGTTGGTCAAGTGGTTGATTTCAATTACGCTTTTCGCGAGTATCTTCCAGATCACTGCCTCCCTCACAGATCCTCCAGGATTTGTAGAATCCCAGCTGAGAATAGTCAAGGGCTTTGGTCCAAACAAATCAAGCTAATTTCCCAACTCCACCGTTGAGTGTCTACACCGCCTTGGGCAGTGCGCTTATTTTTGAGTCTCAATTTCCACATCTATGAATGAAAGAATAATATCTAGCTTGTCGAGTAGTTGGGACCATTAAATATATTGATGACTCTCTACCGAGGTACCTAATGGATTCCTTGACACACAGTAGGCACTCAATAAATCACAACCATCCCATTAGCCACCAGTGAGAGCTGAATTCTGTAAACTTCCAACTGGCAAATGCTGATATGGTTAATGGCTGCAGTAAAAACCCAGGTGTATCAAATTTAGTTTTCGGTTTTTGAAGACAAAAATCTTCAATAATTATACACTGACAATTCTCGCTACTTTTGATTACTATGACCCAGATACCGTGGAAAGCATTTATATTAAACTTTTATTTAACCCTTACAACCATGCTATGAGATCATTTGTATTTCTACAAAAGAAAAAGCCTCTTGATCTTAACTACATTTTCACATTTGGAGTTAAACAGTTTCATTTCCTGCACAAGTTCCCAGGGACTTTAATCTGAAAATATGCATTATCAAATCTAAGATAGAGGAAAACAGTCTAAAGGGTTTTCCAGATGTATTTGACAATTAAATCTCATTTTGATTGGATGTAAATTAAAATTTCATTGAGATGTACTTTGTAAAATGCTAAAATATTATCAGCACTATTTTATACCTGAGAAAACTGGGCCTCAGAGAAGTTAAGCAACTTTCCTATTGTCAAACAGCTAATAAGCGGGAGGGATTATGATTTGAAACCAGGTCTTTCTCGCTCCAAAAACATACACTTGGCCACTGGACAATTATTTTAACAGAACTCCAATTCTTAGAAGATATGTAACGTACAAAGCTATAGGTTGTTACACTACAACCCTAACAATTCTGGATAGAACAGTCCGAACAAAAACCAAAAAAACACCTCCGCATACCAAGTCAGGAGTCTCAGTCTTAAAAGACAGCACCCACTCCCAATACAGGAAAACAGCCAAAAAAAAAAAAAAAAAAAGCCACTGTGTTTCCATACGACCAACGTTTTCCTGATGTCAGGTAACTGAGACCTTCACACTACACTCAGCCCTACACCTACCTTACTGCTTCTCACCGTAGACTAGTCTGCTGGCCCCGCATCTCAAAACCCCGGCTCCACCTATAGTGGCCCATACCTTTCCCTATTTTAGTGGTGCTTAGTGACAGCTCGCATCTGGTTTTTCCCTCAGCAAAGGCAACTGCAGCTCACTGCTGAGAATATTACTAAAGCAAATAATTCATTTAGCCCAAACCTAATAATCCCTCCTCAAAACTCAGAGAATATGAAAAAGAATTGCCCCTTCTAGTTCCCTCGGCATTATGGGAACAAGCAAGACTTTCATTTACTTCAGCAGTCCATATGTTTGAAGGTCAAACAACACCTGGGTATTTCTTTGAAATGAACTAATTGAGCCTGGATGATTTAGAGTTAGTCTTGCTGAAAGACTCACTGGATCTCCAATGGTAACCCAAAACCTGCTTTTGAAAACTCTGGATTCCTCCAACCCCAGCTTTATCAAATGGCAAAGAATATTTGATGCTGTTCAAAGATTAAGGCCTGGATCAAACTGAGTAAAAAGAAAGAGAAAGGATTGCTTTCAAACTACTATGAAAAAGAGCCTTGGCCCCAGGTGTTCAGAGTGGTAAAGAAATCAGAGCCAGCCAAAGGGAAATCAGGCAGAGGGCCTAGAAAGGAATAGTTTTCAAATGCTAAGTGTGCATAGAGAGCAACTGGGAGGCATCTTGACAATGCAGGCTTCCCACCTGGTTTTTCCCTTGTATTCCTCCCCACTTCCTTTTTTTTTTTTTTTTTTTTTTGAGACAGGGTCTCGTTTGGTCACCCAGGCTGGAGTGCGGTGGCACAACCATAGCTCACTGCAGTTTCAACCTCTTGGGCTCAAACAATCCTCCCACCTCAGCCTCCCAAATAGCTGGGACTACAGGTGTGTGCCACCATGCCCAGCTAATTTTTGTAATTTTTTTTTGTGGAGACGAGGTTTCTCCTTTCCCAAGCCTAAACTCCTGAGCTCAAGTAATCCACTTGCTTTGGCTTCTTAAAGTGCTGGGATTACAGGCGTCATATGGTTTGGCTGTGTCCCCACCCAAATCTCATCTTGAATTGTAGCTCCCATAATTCCCATGTGTTGTAGGAGGGACCTGGTGGGAGATACTTGATTCATGGGGGCAGTTTCCCCCATAGTGTTCATGTGGTAGTGAATAAGTGTGGTAGTGAATTCATGTGGTAGTGAATAAGTCTCATGAGATCCAACGATTTTATAAGGGGAATCCCCTTTTGCCTCACTTCTCTCTTGCCTGCCACCATGTAAGATATGCCTTTCACCTTCTCCCATGATTGTGAGGCTTCCCCAGCCACGTGTAACTGTGAGTCCATTAAACCTCTTTTTCTTTATAAATTACCCAGTCTCGGATATGTCTTTATCAGCAGCATGAAAATGGTCTAATAAAAGGTGTGAGCCACTGCTCTCAGCACTGTTCCCCTTTTAGCTAGTTTTCATGGAAACCTCGTTCATAGGAACACACCAAATTAACACATACAGAGACCAGTTTGATTCAGATTGGGAGAAACGCATCGACTTCACCTAATTGTTTGCATCACATGCTGCCATGAACACCAATTGGTTAGTTTGGTTTATGTCAGGTGACTTCTATCTGAAAGCCAAAGGTGGTCTCAAGGTGGAAAATCCCCTCTTTGCCTATTGGTCCTCCAGTTTCACAAACACATAGGACCTTGTATTTGTCTGTATCGTTTTCACTGGCACTGTGGTGAAGTATTTCCCCATTGGACTATTAATATCTTATTCTGCACTTGACTGTGAACTTCATGTGGATCCCTGCCCATCTTGGTCATAACTGCATTAATAACTGAATAAATCATAACTGAATTATTAATAGTCATAACTGAATTAATAAACGAATGGCATTAGAAACCAGTGACTGGGCTAACAAGAGCTCTCTGGGGCAAATACATTGGGTGATACATAATTTTTTTAAAAAATGGAGAAAATGTACAACCATTTATTTTCATCTTATAATTTTAAAATGTACATATTTACCAAGAATTATACTGTTTGGTTTCAACCACACTCAACCATTATGATTGAGGGAGAGTATGGAAACTGAAATAATAACAATAGAGTATAATAATAATAATGCTCAGAGCTAAGATTTATGAAGGACTTGTGTGTCTGGCCCTGTGCTAGGTTTTGCTTATGTATTACCTCATATAATTGCCTCAACCAGTCTATGAGGTAGGTATCTCCACTTTACAAAATGAGGGGACTGGGAGCTGCCCATGAGGATTCCAATATGCCTGTGCTCTCAAACAGTATGCAGAGACTATACAGGAAGGTTCATTCATTCATTCATTCAACAAATATCTGAGTATGTACTATTACTATCCTAGAACAAAATAGTGCAGATAATAAACAAAAACACATACCATCTCAATTCTTTTGGTGTTTATAGTATAGTAGGGGAGATAGATGTTAATCAATAACCACACAAAAATGACAAATACACAGCTGTTTTAAGTGTTATAAAGGAGCAATATATATCATTAGGAGAAATTGGTCCTAGGCAGCTTTATTGAGCTGAGACCTGAGGGAGGAGTAGATGTTAACCAGAGAAGGAGAAGAAGGAGAAGTGTTCAAGGAAAAAGGAAGAGCTGTGCAAAGGCCCTGTGGTAGGAGGAAATGTATGCTTGATGAGGGAATAAAAGCAAGCTATGAGAGTCTGGAACGTGAGAGCAAGAGACTGTATATAGCCAGAAAGGTAGGTGGGCCCTAGAGCAGTGGTTTTCAGACTTGAGTATATACATCAGAATCACTTGGAAGGCTTGTGAAAACACAATCTGTTGGACCCCTTCCCCAGAGTTTCTGACTCAGCAGATCTAAAGTGAGACGTAAGATGTTGAATTTCAAAACACACTACTGGGTGATGCTGATGGATTCCAAGACTACACTTTGAGAACCACTGCCCTAGACTAGGTAGCACCTGGTGAGCTATGGGGCCGATTTCTGACTGTGTCCTAAGAAGAATGAAAAATAATGGGAGGATTCTAAGCTCGGGAGTGACATGATGCAATTTACATTTTGAAAAATGCAGGGTAGAGACAAGATGGTAGAGAGGCCAGGGTGGATGCAGGTAGATCAGCCCAAGGGTAAGCTGCAGTGCTCAGAAAAGACACCACTGTGGCATGGCCTAAGGTGATGGCCAAGGAGGTAGACAGAGGTAGGTGGATTCAAGAGAGATTTAGTCGGTGAAATCAGTAGAACTTGGTGATGAATAAGGGGGTTAAGGGAGAGATTAGCTGTTTGGCTTCTGCGTGAGCAAGTAGACAGAACAGTGGTGTTGTTCAGCGAGAGAGACCCTGGAAGAGGACCAGGCCTGGGAGAGAAGATCATGAGCTCAGTCCTGGACATGCTGAACGCAAGGTACCTTCAAGGCATTCAAAAGATGGTAAGTAGACAGTTGATATATGGGTCTGGAGTTAAGGGCAAGATCAAGACTGGAGATAAAACCATGAGTCATCTGAGTATATATGCAACTTGAAACCACAGGGGTGGATGAGATCACTGGGTAGAGAAATTAGAGTAAGAAGAGAGGGCCTAGGACCTCCAACAGCTAATGGCTGGGTAAAAGAAAAAGAACCTACAAAGGAGGACAAGGAACACTAGGAAAATAAACAGAGAGAATTGTGCCCAGAAATCAGGGAAAGGGAAGAAACAGTAGGCAATAGTACCAGTGATGCTCAGATGACAACTAAGATGAAGACTAAAGAATGTCTGTTTAGGAATGTGGAGGTAACCATGGTGAGAGGTAATTTGGTGAAGAAGGAGAGGAGAAGTTGGGAGTTTAGCAATGTGGAGGTAACCATGGTGAGAGGTAATTTGGTGAAGAAGCAGAGGAGAAGTTGGGACTAGGCCACCACTGACATTGGGGGAAGAGAGTGTTTAATCTCCAACCTTCACTTAGTATTATTTTCAATATCCTTCCCTCCCAGTTATAGCCCAAACACGTTATTTTCCCTCCCTATTCACTGCCAAATGAATCAGAAGTTCACTCTCCTTTTTTTTTTTTACCTCCCACTTACTCTTCCTGCAACTCTAATTTGAATTATGGCCTACGAATATTTTTACTAAATATTACAATTTATCTATTTTTTATTTGTTTCAACACACAGAAGAGTTGCAAAAATTTACCTGCTCTTAACAAGAAACATATCATCTCTGATTTGTCACTAAAGGAGATCTCAAGAATATGAGGCTGTAGGTCCTGATCTTATTTCTCTCACTGGCCAATTAACTTTGCAGAATGGGCAATCATGGGACTATTTACTGACTAGACCAGAGTAATGTAAAGGCAATGTAAAGTTAAAGATCTCACAAGTCCTTTACTTATGTGAGAAGTCTGCCTAAGTGGGAAAACAATTTACTTTTCTAGTGCAAATCACTCTCTGCTCGACAGCAAATTTAGAATCTGGAATTCAGAGCCGGTTAAATCAGGACACAAACCTTGGATTTGTAAATTTCCACTGGTGCAAACTTGGACAAGATACTCAATATCTCTGAGGCTTATTTTTTAATTTATGATTTAAAAAGCATAACAATACATACCTTAAAATATAGTTGTAAAGTATTAACTGCTCAGCATACTTTGTGTTAAACAATTCCATTATAACAGAGTCACTCTAGTGGTGCTCAAGCAACCACAAAGGAGAATAAGAAACAGTCATACAAGAAAGCATGTTTTCTAAATAATATCCTTAAATCCTGAATAATTTGTTTGGGCTTTTCTATATTAGCCCCTTTAAAACACTTTTAAATCTATTACACTTTCAAATTCATTCACCATGAATTGTGCCCTCTTCAACCATTATTGAACTCATCCAAAAAGGGGTTTGTTGAAGGTGCTTTTCAAAATTCAATACTCATTTCAGGTAAACGTTTATTTTTTAAAACAATTTTTAATTAAGTAAAATTAAATACTCCAAAGTTTTTACTATTTAATTTCTGTTTAAATAAAAATAAGAAATCAGGTGGTTATAAAACAAGAGAGAAATACATGAATGGAACTAGTTGATTTAATTTAGCGTTGTGCAAATAAAACAACCATATGAAAAAAACAGCAAGGAAATCATGGCCTAACACAGTTCCCTAGGGAAAAGAAGCAGAATAGACAATGGAAATGTATACCATTCATTCATTTTTTCATTCATTAAATCAGTTCTGAATACTTAGTAAAAGGCCCAGGGCTAGGATCAAAACCAAAATAAATAGCTTTCGTTGTTGATTTTGAATTTCCATCTTGCCAGGTACAGCCTTGACTCATTGTTGAAAGTAGTTGTAGAGCCAGCAGGTTGGATGCCAAGGAGAAGAGAAGAGGTGTGCTTTATGTATGGGTTCCATGGAGCTCCACTGGCACAATCAGTTAGTGCACGGTCCTTACATGTATGGATTCTCTGCAATTTGCTACAAGAAAAACAAATAATTACTGCATCAAAATTTCCACATTGAGTTTACCTGCCTATGTCCAAGCCAACGGCAAGAGAAATGCCATTCAGAAAAAGTTCTCCATCCAGTAGCATCATTGATCAACTCACCAAAATAGTAATAATACTAATGATGACCACGATGATGATTGTGATGGTGATGTTATGAGTCTTTACCTAGTATTTAAAAGCAATGCACATGTATTTACCTGTGTTATCTCTTTCTCCCTGGCAAAAACCTCAGGGTAGGAAGACTATTATAATCTCCATTTTGTAGACAAGGAAACTGAAGATAGGATAGGTTAAGGAATTTGTTCAAGGTCACACCAGTATAAGTGGAAGGATAAGACCTAAAAGTATTTTTTCTATGGTGTTGCTCCCATTTTAAAATTAAATTGCTTTTGGCTCCAAAATAAATATCCCAATTTGTAGATTTTTAAAATTCTATATCCTTATTTGCTCTACCAAAGGACTCTTTGATGGTCATAATAATCGCTACAAATCAGGGTTAAAACTACATTTCTCCCCCCAGCGTACCCCCTTTTCTGATCTACTCAGCAAAGCAGCTCAGTTTTCATCCTAGAAAACTAGCCTTCCCCAACACCTCTCCTGGCAGGGAAGCCCCATCTGATAGACCCTTGAGCGCTTTCTGTAAATTAATCACTCTGGATCCTGAAGCTCAGCAAAACTTTCTTAGTCTAACCCAAGAGCAGTAACTATTTCTCGCACCAAAAGAATGCTCTCCCTCACTGCCATAAAGGCCTCTGAGAATAGCCAAAAGGAAATGGCAGGACTGCTATTTACTCTGAGGTCATCTATAGCACTGGTGGCCTGTAGACCTGAGCAGAAAGGATATTCCTTCATTGGGGTAAGATTTTCTAGCCACAGACTTTTTGTTTTTTTGTGACAATTTTTTTTTCAAGGACAGTATCATCTTCTTTAAGGAAGTTTTTGCCTTTCATGGGTCATTTCGAATTTTTGCTGAGACACAGCCTTGGCTAGCTCAGCATCAGATCCCTGTACCATCTGGGGGGTTATTTTTTAAATATAAGATCTAATCATTTTATGCTAAGGGGCTATATTCTTTGTGAAATTCTAAAGGCCAGTAAAACCACAAAGATCCTACTTTTCATTCAGCATAGGTTGCTGTGTCTTTAAACCAAAGGTATTCCTAGTTCGAAATGGAATAAACTTTTGAGAGCACTTATTATATTCAGCCTCTGTGCTTAAAGGTAATATATATAAACTATTGCTTTTATAATCCCTACACGAACTCTTGAATGTGAGAATTATTGTGAATTCCATTTTACTGATGAGAGCATGGTTAAGTAACTTGCTCCAAATATTGACAATTTTTGAAGCTAGTGATGGGTACACAGAAGATCACTGAGTTATTTTCTCTAATTTTGTTTATGTTTAAAATTGTTGATAATACGATGTTGTCATTGTTGTTGCTTTTATAGTAACTTTCCAGAAGACCCCTAGTTCATGAGTAGAGTCTGGGGTTTTAAACCCAAATCTATTAGCCTGCAAAGCCCAAGCTCTTAAACATGACCATACTGTTGAATATTGCCCAGTTGACAGTTTTAGCCAACGTCTACCTGATGCCAAAACAGCTTCCTAGAAAACCAAAACCCAAACCAAAGTCAGTCTATTTGATGTACTCAGCAGCAGGCAACCATCCTGAAATGATTCTTAGATCAAAATTCTTGAGTATATCGAATTACAAAAAGCATTTTCTTGGTGAAAATACCTAATTTTCAGAGTAATCAAAGCTGCATCCTTACCACCAATAAGCTTTATTTATTTAGCATACCATTTGTGGTCTAAACAACCTCCCTTTAATGGGTATGTCAGGCCCAAGAACAGCAAAGATGGCATCTGGATGCAATCTCAACATAAAATGAGCATCACATTTACTGTTTCCTGGTTATTTAGCCCTCAGCATGGAAATCCATCTTAAACAATGACTGGGGGATCTTTGAGCCTTGGTCTACATGATCTTTTTATTAAACACCTAACCAGCAATATGCAGCTCGTGTTTCTGTAACTGATCACTATTGCTTTTATGGCTTTATTCTCTTGTTTATTAACGCGACACATAAAATATACTTGTTTTCTAAGTGAAAGCAACACATTTATTTTCTCCTGGTAAAATCTTACAAGACCCTGTGATACATCCTGCCATCCTTGAATATTGGGAAAGCAGGCTTAAGATTTATCCTGACACCAAATCTCTCATCATAATTATGAACAATTTCTAGCTCCAACTATTGGAGACTTTACCCCCATGCCTTGCCACTTCATTTTATCTTTGCGGAAACATGAGATTTCTCCCTCTTGCCAAAGTTTGGTTTAAGTGGACCTCAGACTTGCCTGAGGGATAGTTTCTGGAGAAGCATGGAGTTCTGGGAAGCCTCAGCCATCTCTCAGGGGAAAAGCGTTGCTTAGTTTGTAAAAAGAAAAAAGAGAAACTTCTCTGCAGAGCTTAAGAACATAAGCTGAACTGGGGGAAAGGCTGTTGGGGTGTGTTCTTATCACAAAAATGGCTTATTCAGATAATACTTCTCAGCAGAGACCCCTATGGTATTTAAACAGAAGGAAAGCATTTTGATGCACTGAAGACGCTGATAAAGAAGCCATACAACAGCCATTTCCTTGGCCAAATCCGTTATTCTATAAACATCCACACCAGATATAAATAATTTAAATATTGAAAAAATATAAAAAGCCTATCTACCTACCTCTTGCTAAAATAAATTACTAAAACTTGATGTATTTGAGCAAACCAGTTATCGCAGCACTAGGGAGAAAGATGTAAAGCTGAACAGAAGTTCACCCCACTCCATGCCCATCCCAGCCCCCACTACAGTGAATTTAAGCAAATATGACCTTGTAATTCTCAGATTTGATTTCTTAATCCAGGAGTTTTTAATGCTTATCAAGCCCTACATCTCCTTTCTATTATGAATATTTCACAACATAGCCAACAGTTTGAAAAACATTAACATGATGACTTCACTACAAGATAGAGGAGAAATAGAGAAAATTAACTTAAAATAACATTTTAAAATATAAGTGCTCAGGCATGATTACACTAGAAACATACTGATCTGTGCATCCATTTATATAAAATCATTGTTGATTTTTGAAAAGTTAGAATACACACAGAATATTGTTCATTCCTTCACTTTCCATTTGACGGTTTGAAATAAGAACTAAGGACAATCATATATATATGCACAGAATTACCGTGAGTCTGACAGCTACAAACTTAAACCAGTTCTCAAAGTGAAATTTCCATGAGTGGTGCTGTCATTGTTGATTGGTGATATGATATTCTGAAATGGTGAACAATGCTTGGTAAAACTCTGAAGGTAGTCAACTACAACCTATCCTCTGTAGTTGCAGTCCTGGAAAATATAATAATACTAAAGCATTGTCTATATATCTATATCTATATCTATCAATCATGTAGTCTAGGCTATACATAAAATAAATATATGCAGGTTTTCAACCACATGAATGTCCAGCAGGACATCTGAAAGGCATCCAGGACTCAGGAAAATTTACTATTTTCTGTGTCTACTTCACATATTGTAGGATGCCTGCAACTTCCAGACTTGACTCATTAAATGACAGTAGTATCTCCCCAGTTGTGACAACCTAAATCACTCCCAAAGATTTCTGAAAAGCCTTCTGATAGTCATATTCCTTCTGAGAACCAATGTCTGATAGAAATATCAAGCCAACACTCTTCAACGCTTTCCCACAGAATTTGTGCTGTGGTCCCCACAAGGGATGCCCTAGTGTCACTTTCTTCCCGGATACACCCTTTATCCCTTATAGAGCTCATACAGTCCCTCACCTTCAACGTGGCCTGCCTTTAGCCTGCTGGCTGGACCAGAACTCTCCTACTTCTGAATTCCCATTACATTGATTATTTCTAGGGTTCATATCAACAACTAATTATCTGCTAACCCATGCTGATATTTAAAAGCCTTATGAACATACCTTATTCTCCCAAATCAACAGAAAAGCCCTTCAAAGAAGTCTTTTTAGTATTTTCTATCTCCAAAGTGCTATGCAGGCACTGTGAGACCAAGGTTGAGTTAATAAAGCTTAAAGTTTGAGGAAATGGATTCCATACTTCTGGGATGTATGAAAATGTAAATGTGGAGCAATCCAGACTGCAACTCAAGCTTCCAAGTCATTTCTCCACCTAGATGTAATTCTCACTGTACAAATTTACACCCACTCTCATTCAGATTGTCTAATGGTGTTGCTCACACCCATTTTGACCATATTTTTATGACTTTCAGGAATTAAATCCATCTACCTTTTCTAAAGCAGTATTTCTCAAACTATACTCTGTGTATACTACCTGTGCAGAATCGACTGGAGATACCTGTTAAAAACAAAACAAAACCAAAACAATACTGGATGCTGTCCCCTGGAATCCATACTTTCAGAAACACTGCTCCGTCTAATGTGTATTCAACCAATTAAGCTAATTCCTTCATCTTAAAAACCATTCGCTAATATTTCCTGAATGTGACTAGGCCTTTTTCATTAAATGGGGAATCCAGTCAAAATGATAAGGCAGCCTCTAAATCCAACCTTATAATCCTGCAGACCACAAACCTCATGAAAACCAGGCAGGCCACAAGGGGTGGAATTATTCTGGTAGCTGACATTTAGTGATGCTGCCTAATTGATTTCAGGGCTTTGGCATTTGCCATTCGCCTGTTAGTTCATCAATATTTTGACTATGTCACTTATCATTTTGCTAGACAAGTTATATATTTTATTCCCTGATATGCTCAAATACTATGTGTGTGTGTGTGTGTGTGTGTGTGTGTGTTTAAGTAAATTTGTGCCAAAATTCCATGAGGAGACAATTGCGCAGGGGAAAAAAGTCAAGAATGTGAAATTCCCTGAATTATATTTCTTCTGCTGGATTTGAAACTCCAGGGGGCAATGACTATCTATCCTCTTTACTCCTATATCCTCTTTCCCTTCTCGAGTCTGGCACATATTAAATGATCTCTAAGAATGTAGAACTATTATTTGATCCAGCAATCCCACTGCTGGGCATCTATCCAAAGGAAAAAATTATTATATTCAAAAGATACTTACATATATTTGTTACAGCACTAAGTGCTGCAATATGGAACCAACCTTATTGTCTATCAATGGATAATTGGATAAAGAAAATGTGGTGTGTGTGTATATATATACATAAATAGGGGGTGGGGATGGGCATGTGTGTGTGTGTGTGTGTATATATATATATATATAATCATTTTGCTAGACAAGTTCTATATTTTATTCCCCGATGTGCTCAAATACTGTGTGTGTGTGTATGTGTGTATTTTTAAGTAAATGTGTGCCAAAATTCCATGAGGAGACAATTGCACAGGGGAAAAAGTCAAGAATGTGAAATTCCCTGAATTATATTTCTTCTGTTGGATTTGAAACTCCAGGGGGCAATGACTATCTATGTATCTATCTATCTATCTATCTATCTATCTATCTATCTATCTATATACACACACGCTATGGAATACTCTTCAGCTGTAGAAAAGAATGAAATCATGTCTTTGCAGAATCATGGATGGACCTGGAGGTAATTATCTAAGTGAAACAAGTCGAACACAGATAGACAAATATCACCTGTTCTTACTTATAAGTGGAAGCTAAATAATGTATACATGTAGATGTAGAATGTGGAATGATAGGCAATGGAGACTCAGAAGGGTGAGGGAGTGGATGATGAAAAATTATTTAACGAATACAATGTAAGTTATTCGAGTGATGGATACTCTTTATAAAAGTGTTGATTTCACCACTATGCAATCTATGCAAGTAACAAAAGTGTACTTATACCCCATAAATTTATTGAAATTAAAAAATAAAAAATAAAAGGCAAATGTAAGTATGGTTTGTTAAAAAATGTATGGAATGAATGCATCATTCATATAAAATATACGGACTGAACACTCAACATTAATGATGAGTGATAATTCATTCATTGGATAAATATTTGTAAATTTCCTACTGTGTAGATTTAGCTCTGCAATGCCACTGCCACTGTTCATAAGAAGTTAAGCATCTTAACTATAACAACAGCTACATTAATAGAGTATTTAATCTGTCAGGTGCTATTCTGTGTATTTCACAGACATTACTCATTTAATCCTCAGAAACCCCAAGGAGGCAGGCACCACTATTCCCATTTTGCAGATAAGAAAGTTAATTCTTAGAGAAGTGAAGTGTCTTTCCCCTTATAAGCAGAAAAGGCAGAATTCCAGCCTAGATTTGTCTGCCTCCAAAGACTGTGCTCTTAACCACACCACCCTTCTATTCTTAGTTGGATGATTGGAGGTGGGGTTACAATAAAAGACAATGATCAAAGAACTTCGGGTCCCAGAGACATACATGATGAAGTGTCAAGGGGCTATTGGTAAGGGTACAAGGGATGAATTCAGAGCCAGGAGTGACAATAGAAGGTGGCAATGGAGGTATAGGGGTTGAGGTCACTCTTGGAAGGAGAGTGGGGTATCTCCTGTAAAATGAGGCATTCCAGGGATGGAGGCTAAGGAGGAGGCAGCACTGTACCCTCCAAGCACACAGGTTGGAGTAGAAACCCATGGAGAAGAAACATACAGACTCAGGAGTATATGACTCAGGAGCTTGCAGGAGATTTAGCTGGAAGCAAACCACACCAGGGAAGCCCACACAGCCCCCTGCAATGATGCCTCAGGAGTGTCCTGCAAACAACTCTCATGTTCCTCACACAAGCCGGTCTCCTTTGTTCTCTAGCTCAGCCAACAAAACCCTGTGAGTCATGCCCTGGCCCCCTCATATCTGTTCTTAGCCAGTTGTCTGCAGACACTCAGGAAGGAGGACAGATGAAAGATGAAATTACCTATCTGGGTTTCAGGGCAGGCTGGGCCAACTGTGATAACTGATAGGGAAATCTCTGGAATTCAGGTTCAGTTTGGAGAGTCACCAGGAAGTGGATTACAGCTAATGAGAGGTTATATGACTCAACTCCAGCACCATGCGCAGGAACAGTGGGAACGGAGGCGATGGCTAATATAGAACTACTCTCTTGGTGGGCTGGGAACACTTACCCGTGGTCCTCGTCTCTTCCTTGAGTCTAGGGAGCCATGGCTGCCATTTCTCCTTCCTGCCTCCTCCCCAGGAAGAAATGGTCTTCAGCCTCCCCTCTCAGGCCTGTTTGAGAAACAGGAGTAGGAGACCCTGCATAGGTATCATGACTGTGTAGGTTTGTGAGCCCTTGTCAGGCTCTGCGCAACAAGTTGAATTCCTTGCTCACCAAGAAGTAACACTTATCCTCTAGTAAAAAAAAAAAAATTGAGACAGAGTCTCGCTCTGTCACTCAGGCTGGAGTGCAGTGGCGCGATCTCAGCTCACTGCAACCTCCGCCTCCTGGGTTCAAGAGATTCTCTATTGCCTCAGCCTCCTGAGTAGCTGGGACTACAGGCACCTGCCACTACACCCAGCTAAATTTTGTATTTTTAGCAGAGACAGGTTTCACCATGTTGGCCAGGCTGGTCTCGAACTCCTGACCTCAAGTAATCCACCTGCCTCAGCCTCCCAAAGTGCTGGGATTACAGGTGTGAACCGTCACACCCAGCCCTCTAGTAAAATTCTTTAAGTGAAATTTAACATAAGATGGAATGATAAATGCCCAGGGGAAAGACACCAAACCTATATGCCAGACCCAGTGCTAAACACTTTACCTGGAACCATCTAGTATAATCATGATTATAACAACCCTACAAGGCAGGTGCCACGATCATTCTTATTTACAGATGAGAGAACTGAGGCAGAGCAAGGATAAGCACATCTGATTCTGCTACAATGCACGTTTGTTCCAACATGGTTGATGTGTGTTATGAGCCACGCCATCCTCAACTGGTGCTACAACTTTCCCTAGGATTCCAGATAACCAGCTCCTGCCACTTCACAGTAGCTGGCAAGTTGCAACCCTTTCCACCTCACTTCCATAGGCAAACCCTAGGTCTTTTTCCAGGCGGAGTGCCATATTTATTGTTGTATTTATGTTATTTTTTAGCAATTTATCAAGTGTAAAGTTGTCTACTGGTTTTTTTTTAGTGTCAAATTAAATTTGGCCTAAAGCTGTCTCCATATCTTGAGTCCATATGTATCAAAACGCAACCTAACTTACAAGTATATTCTTGTGACAAATAGCTGAGTCTCAGCCCATCATAGCGGCTGAGCTTCAGCCAATTACAGGCTGCCAAATGATCACACCATGTCAAATAAGGCAAACTACCAAACTATAACAAATCAGGCTATTGTTACACCTCACTTCCTTACTCTGTCTATAAATACTGACTGCCCCCCACATGGCTGCATGAAGCCTTCTCAAGCTCTCCTGTGTAACAAGTCAAATCCCTTGCTCACCAAGAAGTAACACTCATTGTCTAGTAAAATTACTTAAGTCAAATTTTGGGGGCTTCCCAATTCATGAATCATTCTTTGCTGAAATAAACTCTACTAAATTTAATTTATCTAAACTTTTTCTTTTAACATTAGGTTTCTATCTTTTTTTTTTTAACATGTCATTGAAAAAGTGGTTTTGTGTTGTGCCCTGAGCCCCATTTTCCTCATAAGCTCTGTGGTTTGTATTGCCCAATTTAGCATAATGCAGTGATTTTATGGAACATACATGTTGTGTTAAAGAATAGCTATTTGCCAAGGTTACGTGGCTAGGTAGTGGCCCAGCAGGGATTCAAACAAAACTTGCTAGGGAACCCAGCCTAGCTTCTTAATCTCTGTATCTTCCTGCATTGGTACACATGTTCTCTTTTAATCTTCACAGCATCCTTAAGAGGTCTTATTATTCCTATTACACAGTTGAAGAAATTGGGATTCAGAAATTACTACTAAAAGCTTCAATGGAATTAACCAAACATGGTAACTGAAATTTACAGTCAAGTCTGTTTACTTCTGAAGCACTTACCCAAACCAGGACTTCAGCAGTCTGTATAAATAGTAAGGGTTTGTGCTAAAGGGATAATGCCACAGGTCTACGCATATCTTCATTGACAGTTACCAATTCAGCTCTTCTTGACTGGGTAAAGAATGAGTCCTCGACATCTAGAGCCATTATCTGAACTATTTATCCATTCCCTTGCTTCTTTGCTGTTGCTTTTGTTCATTCATCCTGTCCTTCATCAAGTATTGAGTCCACAGATATCATATACCTAACGTTTAGATCTTAAGTATTGCTTTAGAGTTGCCTTCTATAATTCATGCCCCACCCGATCAAGTAGAAGGTTCTTTTATTAATAGCACCCTTTGTCTCCCTTCCCCAGTACTTACCACTAGCAATGATGGTATGATTATTTGTAAAGAGTTCTTGATGATCTTCCCCACTGTGATGGTACATTCAACGAGAACAGAACACGTCAGCATCCAGTGCCATAACCTGACAAATAGTAGCTGCTCAATAAATCCTTGACTGTTTTACCAATGACCTTAGATCTGGCACTGATAGAAAAAGAAGCCCACAGAACATCTTCAACCTAGACAAGTGCCTCTTCAACAAATAAAGTTTTAAAGGTTATTGAAATTCTTGAGCTAGAAGGATATATCCCTGCAGTGAGTTCAAGGAAGGACTGTAAAGAAAAAGTAGCTGACAGACAGAAAACTGATCCACAACAACTTCTATAAACGGACCATGAAATAATCAGGTTCCTTGGTCTTTTATTTGTTTCTGGATGGAGTCCCAGGCAGGGAAGATAACCTTCACCTCAGAACAATGTGGCGCATCATCTGTAAATGTAATGAGATGATGAATTATTCCAATGTCATTATGCTCATGATTTATGGGGAGACATTATCTGCTAAAAGCCCAGGCTGAAGGAATATTGATTTCACTTTTACTGAGACAGCCATTTAAAACTTTTTAAAGACAGCAAATGATTGCTTAAAAGACCAACTTCAAAAAGGCCACTTTCAAACTGTTCGGTGGGGAGTGGTGGGGAAGCGGAAATGGTGATGCAGCTCCTTTAAGACCCAGCTGAGCAAAGTTAGGTCCTCCTGCTCTATATTCTCCAGCAACACCTTGTACTTCTTCTTTGCAGCACTTGGCTGCATGCACAGGATTTAATACCAGATTATTCTTTAGAAACCTTACATGTTCAAAGCTGAATTCTATTTTGTCTGGGGAAATCATTTTCTGTCCTTTATCCCAATTTACTTTGAAATCCAGGCCAGGTGCAGTGGCTCACACCTGTAATCCCAGCACTTTGGGAGGCTGAGGCAGGTGGATCACCTGAGGTCAGGAGTTTGAGACCAGTCTTGCCAACATGTTGAAACCCCGTCTCTACTAAAACTACAAAAATTAGCCAGGCGTGATGGCGGGCACCTGTAATCCCAGCTACTCGGGAGGCTGACGTAGGAGAATCGCTTGAACCTGGGATGCAGAGGTTGCAGTGAGCCAAGATTGCATCTCTGCATTCCAGCCTGGGTGACAGAGTAAAACTCCATCTCAAAAAAAAAAAGAGAGAGAGAGAGAGAGAAATCCAGAGGCAGCAGGTTGGTGCTATTTGGTAGTAGTAGTGGTGGTGATAGAGAATTCTTTCTCACTTAGATGAAATAACACTATTTTCTAAATCACATACTCTTATGCTGATAACCAATTAGGCTTCCCCTAGAATACAGAAAGACCGTACATAGTGAATTTTTTAAAAGGGAGAAATGACAATATGGAACAGGGTGGTAGATTTGGATCCATGCTAGTGAACTGGAAGAAATATTTTTTCTGTAGCATTTTATACTCTACGGCTTGGTTTTCTAACACACAAAAGGATGGATGGAAATTAATATGTCAGGCACTTAGTAACCATATTTATTTAATCCTCCCAACAAGTTTTCAGAATAGCACTGATTGTCTTGTTTCATAGATAAGGAAACTGAGGCCTGGGGATGGTAAGTCCAAGTTTATAATAATGGTTGGCAGTACCTGAATTTGAACCAATGGCTCCTATTTCTTTTTTCTTTCTTTCTTTCTCTCTTTTTTTTTTTTTTTTTTTTTTTTGAGACGGAGTCTCGCTCTGTCGCCCAGGCTGGAGTGCAGTGGCGCGATCTCGGCTCACTGCAAGCTCCGCCTCCCAGGTTCACGCCATTCTCCTGCCTCAGCCTCCCGAGTAGCTGGGACTACAAGTGCCCGCCACCACGCCCGGCAAATTTTTTTGTATTTTTATATTTTTAGTAGAAACGGGGTTTCACCATGTTGGCCAGGCTGGTCTTGAACCCCTGACCTCATGATCCACCCACCTTGGCCTCCCAAAGTGCTGGGATTACAGGCGTGAGCCAGCGCGCCTAGCCAGGACTCCTATTTCTAAACTGAGTTGGCTTCTAATCCCAAACTTAACAGGACATGGTCTGAAGACTAAAATTTTCTCCACGGTTGAGAGCGCCTGATCAACACAGAACTGCTCGCTCTTCCCAAGAAACCCCTTCCTGCCTCTGGGTTCATAAGATCAGATGTTCTCAGCCATGGAGAAAATTTTAGTCTTCAGACCATGTTGTTTTAAGTTGGAGATTAGAAGCCAACTTTTTTTTCCTCCGCTTGGTCAATTATGCATAGCTTTTCCTCCTTGTTTTTCTTTAAGGCTAGTCAGCTGAATAAATATAATCCCTTCTTGGTCTTGTATACCAGATATTAATTCCTTTTTTCCTAGGTTAGGATTCTCTACCATAAAATGAACATCCTGAAGTTGAAGGGGATCTTATAAAGACTCTACCTTAGGCACCACAATTTGGTTATGCATGGGCTGAATAAAACCCCAGATGTGTTTTTTGTTATTGTAGTTTATTTAGTTTTCTTTTAGCTAGCATATTCTCTTATATATATATAAACTTACATGTAATTCACATGTGATACAATTCACCCCTTTACAAAGTGTAAAATTCAGTGGTTTTTAGTATATGTACAAGGTTGTGTAACCATCACTACAGTCCATTTTAGAACATTTTTATCACTCCCAAAAGAAACTCTATGCCAGTGAATAGTCACTCCCCATCTACCTTAGCTAAATCCCACAGGCCTAGGAAATGACTAATCTAATTTCTGTCTCTATATATTTGCCTATTCTGGATATTTTACATAAATGAAATCTTACAATGTGTGGGCATTTTTGACTGGTTTCTTTCACTTAACAGCATGTTTTCAAGGTTTATCTATGCTGTAACATGTTATAACTTTTAATGGCCTAATAATATTCCATCATATGGATATACCACATTTTATTTGCCCTTTCTTCAACTGATGGACATTTGGGGGTTTCTCCCCCACTTTTTGGCCATTATGAACGATGCTGCTATAAACATTTATATGTATACAACTTTTTGTGTGAATATGTTTTCATTACTCTTGGGTATACATCTAGGAGTGGAATTGTTAGATCATATAGTAACTCTAAGTTTAAACTTTTGAGGAACTGTCAGACTACTGTTCAAAGCAGCTTCAAAATGTTAAAGTCCCTTTGGTAGTGTATTAGAATCCTGATTTCTCCACATCATCATCAACACGTTATTATTTGTAATTTTTATTATACCCATCTTAATGGGTGTTAAGTGGTAGCTCATTATAATTTTAATTTGCATTTTTCTGATAACTAATAATGTTGAGCATCCTTGCATGTGCTTATTGACATTTTGTATATGTTTTTTGGAGAAATGACTATTTGCATCTTTACCCATTGTTTAATTGGGTTGTCATTTTATTGTTGAGTTGTAAGAGCTCTCTATATGATCTAGGTAAAAGTCACTTATCAGATATATGATTTGCAAATATTTTCTCCCATTTCGTGGGTTGTCTTTTTACCTTCTTGATGGTGTCCTTTAAGTGAGACAGCTTTTAATAATGATTAAGTCCAAGTTATTTATTTTGTTGTTGTTGCTTGTGCTTTTGGTGTCACACCTAAGAATCCATTGCTTAGCAAAGTTACAAAGATTATTTTATTCTAAGAGTTTTGTAGTTTTAATTCTTACCTTTAGATCTGTGACCTATTTTGAGTTCATTTTTGTGTCAGATGTGAGGGAAACGGCCAACTTAATTCTTTTGCAGGCGGACATCAAGTTTCCCAGCATCATTTGTTGAAAAGATTATTCTTACCACCATTTAATTCTTCTGATGCCTTTGTAGAAAATCAGCTGACTATAAATGTGGTGGGTTATTGCCAGACTCTCGTTTCAACTCCACTCATGTATATGTTTATCCTTATGCCAGTACCAGACTGTCTTGATTACTGGCATTGTAGCAAGTGAATCCACTTGCTACATTTTTGTAGCAACAAAATATGAATCCACTAACATTTTTCTCATTTTTTCTAGATTGTTTTAGCTGTTCCGGGTTCCATGAATTTTCATATAAACATTAGGATCACCTTGTCAATATTTGCAAACAAAAAAATAAGCTACTTTGGATCTTGAAAAGGATTGCATTGAATCTATGAATCATTTTGGGGAGTAATGACATCTTAACAATATTAAGTAATTCAATCCATGAACATGGGATGACTTTCTATTTATTTAGGTTATCTGTAATTTCTTTCAACAGTGTTTTATAGCTTTCAGAGTATAAATTTTGTCCTTCTTTCATAAAGTTATTTCTCAGTATTTTACTCTTTTGATGCTATTGTAAATGGATTTAATCTGTTCATGTCAGTTTCAGTTTGTTCACTGCTACAGTGTGCAAATACAGTTGATTTTTGAATATTGATCTGTGTCTTGCAAACTTGCTGAACTCATTTATTAGTTTTAATAGTTTCTTTAGAGTTTTCTATATACAAGATCATGTCATCTGCTAATACAAGTAGTTTTACTTTTCCTTTTTAATTTGGATGTCTTTTATTTCTTTTTCTTGCCTAATATCCTTGACTAGAACCTCAAGTATAAGGTTGAGATAGCATAAGTGGATATTCTTGTCTTGTTTTTGATCTTGGAGGGAAAGCTTTCCATCTTTTACCTTTAGATATATTGTCAGCAGCTGGACGCGGTGGCTTACGCCTGTAATCCCAGCACTTTGGGAGGCTGAGGTGGGCAGATCACTTGAAGTCAGGAGTTCAAGACCAGCCTGGCCAACACGATGAAACCTCATCTCTACTAAAAATAGAAAAAATAGCCAGGCATGGTGGTGCGTGCCTGTAATCCCAGCTACCTGGGTGGCGGACACAGGAGAATCGCTTGAACCCGGGGGACAGAGGTTGCAGTGAGCTGAGATCATGCCATTGCACTCCAGCCTGGGCAACAGTGTAGGACTCTCTGTCTCAAAAAAAATTAAATAAATACATAAATAAACTGTTAGCTGTGGAGTTTTTGTACGTGCCCTTAGTCAGGTAAAGGAAATTTCCTTCTAGTCTTATTGCTTTTGTTATGAAGGGATCTGGAATTTTGTCAAATACTTTTTCTATATCTATCAAAATGCTTATATGTTTTTTGTTCTTGATTCTACTGATATATTATATTAATTGATTTTTAAATGTCCATCCAAACTTGCATTCCTGGGATAAATCTCACATTGTTATGGAATATAACCCCTTTTATATATTATGGAACTCAGTTTGTTAGTATTTGGTTGAATATTTTGTGTCTATATTCGTAAGAAGTATTGGTCTGTAGTTTTCTTGTGATGTCTTTGTCAGATTTTAGTATCAGAGTAACGCTGCCCTCATAGACTGATCTGGGAAATGTTCTTTTCTCTTCTATATTTTGGGAGAATTTGGTGAATAATTGATATTAATTTTTTAAGTTTTGGTAAAATTCACCAGTGTATTCATCTGGTTCTGGCTTTTTTTTTTTTTTTTTTTTTTTTTTTTTTTTGTGGGAACTTTGTTACTCCTGAATTCAATCTCTTTGTGTTTTATGGATCTACTCAGCTCTCCTATTTCTTCTTGAGTAGTTTTGGTACTTTGTATATTTCTAGGAATTTGTCCATTTCATCTGGGTTATCTAAGTTGCTGATATACCATTGTTTATAATATATGTTTGTAATCATTTTTATTCTGTGAAGTTAGTGGTAATAACCCCTCCTCCAATCTTTAATTTAGCAATCAGTGTCTTCTCTCTGTCTCTCTTTTTTTCATGATCAGACTTGCCAAAGGGATCTTGTCAACTTTGTTGCTCTTTAGTAAGAAGCTTGGGCATGCCCACAGTTAAACTGGGATGAGAGTGTTTTTAGTAGGGCTCTCTTTCACTGTCTCTTTTTCTGAACTTTCTGTTAAGCTGTCTGCTTCTGTTGGTATCACACCCAGCTGTTAGGCTCCACTAATTGCTGATTCACTGCTCTATCATTTTTTGGCAATTTCCTGGAGCATAAAGTGCCCCATAGTCTGATGCAAATAAATTCAGGCCCCCTTTGCAAGGGTAGGCTTTAAATCCAGTTTTCGAGGTTTGTTCTGATCCAAGTAAGGCTCTTCTTAGCTTTTTCCCTGGTTCTCTTCAATAAACTAGTTGGTCTATAGTTTAGTTTGTTGTTCTCATGTTGCAACCAGCCTCCTTACCACGAAAAATCTCCAAGTTTTTGAGATCACCCTTAGGCTTGAACTTTCTTTACCACACTTTCTTCCAAATAAAGTCAGTTCCTAAGAGGAAAACTTCAGAACTCTGTTCTTATACCTGTCTCCCTTGGCAAAACATCTGTACCTATTCTGTGGAGCTAGGATTGGGAAGAGCGGCCCATTTCTCTTGAAGAGACACTCCTGCTTTATGAGCAGGACACTGAGTGAGGGAAGCAGCCTCTGGTCTTCTGGACTAGCCTTTGCTGACAGCTGGCCTAAAACCTCTACCTATGAGAGATCTGGGTTGAGTGTCATCTGAGCTATAGTATTCTCAGCTTGCTATAACTGAGTAGATCCTCTGTCCTGTGATTGGCGGCTGAGTAGAGAAAGGGAATCCCCCAACCTCTCATTCACACTTACCTGGAATTTAGCCTCTGTATCACAGAGCACAGGAGAATCAGAAATGCTAAAAACCTGCCCCTCCAGGGAAGATTCTACACCACTTGACTTGGAGCTTAGAGAGGAGGGTACCCTATCTTCTTGGCCACATCTTTTTGGAATGGAGTTTCTTTGAACTGTGGGGCAGGGGAGGGAGGATAGGGAGAGAGTAGGTCATGACTCAAATGCTACAGATGCTCATTGTTCTTAATAAGATTTAGTCGATTTAAAAAAATATTTCATCATCTGCTATATGCCATTATAACAATTTCAGAGACTTTAGCTTCTTAAAAAAATATTTTTTATCAATTATGGTTGTTCCACTGGGCAGAGAGCCACAGAGCTCCTCACATTGTCATTTTGGAAGCAGATTCTAAGTTTGATTTCAAATACCTTTAGTCACAGCAGTTACTATCCAGTTGACCACCTGGCCTACTACACCCTATTATCTTATGACAGGATGCTTCTCATATTCTTTTGTAAAATCCTTTCCAAAATAGCCATGAATCTCCCAACTCTATACTCAGCCCCTGCTTTATTTCTTTAATAGCATACATCCCTTTTTACCTTATATATTTATAGCTTTGTTCATTTTCTGTATTCCCTCTCTAGTATATGAGCTACATGAGAGCAGAAATTTTGCCTCTATCGTTCACCAGTGTATAACCAGAACCCAGAACATACCTGACATTTGTTAAATGTTCAGTATATATTGAATGTACTTTGATTACTATCTCTCCATCTGTGGCTGACACGATGAGTTGTTTTCCAACAGCATTCACTTCTTCTTTAGGAGGCACTAATGACATCCAGAAAAAAAAAAAAAAAAAAAAAAAAACCTTTCCCAGGCACCCTTGCAGCTATATGTAGCCATGTAACCAAATTTTGACCAATGAGTTAAAATGGAAGTATTATGTGGAACATCTAGTGAGCCTCTGCTTTAGTTTCCTGTGGCTGCTATAAGAAATCACCATGAACTTGGTGGTTTAAAACAAAAGAGATTTATTATTTTACAGTTCTAGAGTTCAGAAGTCCAAAATTAGTTTCGCTGGGCTGAAATCAAAGTGTCATCAGGCCATGCTCCCTTTGGAGACTCTAGAGAGGAATTCATCTCCTTGCATTTTCCAGTTTCCAGAGCTGCATTACTTGTCTCCTTTCTCTATTTTCAAAGCCAACAGTGTCGTATCTTACTTTGGTCATCATGTTGCCTACTGTCTCTGCTACAATCAAGTCTCCCTCTCCCTCCCTCTTACAATGACACCTGTAGTTGCATTATTCTTACCTGTGTAACTGAGGATAAACTCTCAATTTGAAGATCCTTAATTTAATCACATCTGCAAAGTCCCTTTTGCCATATAAGGTAATATTCACAGGTTGTAAAACTTAGGACATGGATGTCTTGAGGGACCATTAACCAGCCTCCTGCAGGCTCCTGCTGGTCAAACTCAGCATGTAATGGCTGGAACTCCAGCAGCTACTTGGAGCATGAGGATGACGGCCACAGCCTAGGGATGGCTTCGTGTAAAACTAGGAGGAATATGGAACCCTAAAGAGTTTTGGACCCCACCAAAACCACTCTAAATTGGCACTGTAATTTTGTTTAGCCAGTAAAATGTGGGAGAGTCTAGGTGGTTCTCTTTCCAAACCTAGTCCTCCAGAGGCCTTGCAACTTCTGCTTTCTCTTAGAACCCTAAACCCTATCTGGGAACGTCTAGAATAGTCTATTGAAAGATGAATGACATGTGATCCAGTCACTGCATTGCCCTAAGACAAGAGCTGGACAACCACCAGGTATGTGACTGAGGCCATCCTATACCAGCCAGCCCCAGCCAATCTGCCAGCTAATCACAGACGTGTGACCAAGGCCAGCCAAGATCAGCCAAACCTGGCTCAGAGCAGCAGAATTGCCCAGCCAACCCACAGACCCTTAAAGAATAATAAATTATTATTATTCTACACCTCTGTAGTTTGTTATACTACAATAGCTCATTGATAAAGCTGCCAAAAAGAATAGCATCAAAATGTGTTATATATATAAAATATAAATCATCTGGAGATTATATGCAATTTTGAATGATCTTTTACTTTTTACTTCATCTAAACATGATATGCATAAACTATTGATATACAAGATAATTTTTAAATAACATGAGTAAACTTTTAAAATTTTGAATAGATATGTACTTAAATTAATGTATATTAGAAAACACTTGTTTTCGTTTCTTTTTGCTAACTTTCATTTTAGGTTCAGGGGTACATGTGTAGGTTTGTTAAACAGGTAAACTTCTGTCACAGGGGTTTGTTTTACAGATTATTTTTTCACCTGGGTACTAAGCCTAGTACTTAATAGTTATTTTTTTCTGATCCTCTCCTTCCTCCCACCCTCTACCCTCAAGTTGGCCCCAGTGCCTGTTGCTCCTCTCTTTGTGTCCATGTATTCTAATAATTTAGCTTCCACTTATAAGTGAGAACATTTGGTATTTAGTTTTGTGTTCCTGCATTAGTTTGCTAATAATAATGACCTCCAGCTCCATTTATGTTCCTGCGAAGGACATGATCTTGTTCTTTTTTTATGGCTGCATAGCAATCCATGGTGTACATGTACCACATTTTCTTTATCCAGTCTACCATTGATGGGCATTTAGGTTGATTCTATGCCTTTGCTACTGAAAAACACTTGTTTTCTATGCACAATAGTCACATGAAATTTTTGCCCTAAATAAACTTTTTAAGGCAAATAAGTATCCCATTTAGAAAATATTAAACAATGGTACAGGTGGTAAGCAGAAATAGTAAAATCTATGAAATTGTGAAATGAATACCTGAGGTCTGGGAAGCATTGTAAGAAGGTAGCTGACCTAAAGTTGGCTGGGACACTTAAAGCTTTACCAAGGCACCTTATCTAAGCATTTGGCAATTCTTGGAGTATACTGCCCTGAAGGAATTTTTATTCTAAGTCTGGGGCAACAAAACTAGTTTGAGGCAGGTTGATGGGATGAAAAAAAATTTGTCAGATAAATTCAATTTTGCAGGCCTAGCTTATATCTGTATATATGCAGACATACATTACTTAGTGTTTACACAGAGTCTTATCTGAGGATCTCAGTACCCTTCACAGGCTTTAATTAAACACCACAATACCCCTGATGAAACAGCTATTATTTTAGATGGGTAAATTGAGACACTCTTAATCAAGGCTCCTGAAAATGATGAGGCAATCTGCCTAAGGACAAACAGGAAATGATTATCTAAGCTGTGAAGAGAAGCTGCTAGTCTTTCTCTTTGGTTCAGACTTTAACCACCTAACCACAGAGCCTGAGGGAGGAGAAAATTGCCTGCTTTTAAGTGTTTCTCAGAGTAGTGTGAGATTGTCTCTCTCCCTGCACCTTACTCTTATTAAAGAAGGAAAGAAGTTGCTTGCTTGCCCTTTTCTTTTCTTTTTCGGTCACAGATAAATAAGCTCCTTGTTCCTTTCCAGAGAGAGTATATCCCAAACAAAGACCTTTTTCACAAGTGTTTTGGAACTACCTACCTGTTGCATTGAGGCAGACACCAAGAGTTTCTGCTTTTAGGGAGCATTTTAATCCCTTATCTTAAAAAGCTTTGTCAGCATCAACAGGCTTGAAGCTGTGTGTTTTCCCTGCCAGGGGGAACAATTCTCAGCCAAACATAATATTAGGCTCATTTAGACTTCCCGGAACCTTGGGTTCAAATCCTGCCAGGTTTCATCTTGGACCTTCATCTCTTCACATTAGATAAATGGAGCAGAAGATAGTTTACATGTCAGATTTCTTGGCCAAGATTTTGGAAGTCAATGATCTAATTTAAAAGTCTTGGTTCTTTGAGAAAAGTTGTTGAGTTTACTTTGGATCATGAGATCAAAGCTAAATACTGCTAGTTAAGCACCTCTTTAAAAGGACTAATAATATTTTCTTTTGGAAGTTTTTGCCAGGTTTTTAAAAAATGGCAGCTGTACATGAATGTTGTGTAGATTACCAGATAAGTTTTTTTGTATTGTTCACCTTACACTGAAACACACACATACACACTTGAATTATTCTTAATATACATTATTTACTTGTATCTTTTGTTAGATGGTCATAGCAACCTAGAACCATTGATTCATGGAGTTTCTAGCAAAAGGTCATTAGGAACTAATGGAAGTGTTAGGAGGAAGATGAGCTCAGTTTTGATGATGATTATTCACATGACTTTCATTGACTTTGAAGAAGTGTCTGGATGAAGCTGGATGAAGACTGACAATCACTGCCCATCTTACACAGCAACTGTGAACAGACTGTATGTGAATGCATTCTATAAACTATGGAGAGTTATGAAGCTATAAAGGGTTATTTATTTATGCAATGATTCTTAGTACATTCATTACTTACATTTAATATCTGCTTTCAATGTTATACTGAAAAAAATGTATACTCCTAAATAATTCAAACTCTTCCTATTGTGTTTTATTCAGCACACTACTTGGTTATGAGTAACAGAAACTTTATCTTAAATCGTCTTAAAAAGAAAAAGATAATTGGTTGGCTTGTGACAGGGCCAGATTCAGTGGGCAAGAAGGTATCATTGACATAATGCAATTATTACTGTCACTTTCCTTAATGCCATCTAAAATTATCTTTCTAGATTTCTCAAAGAACTTAAAATAGAACTACCATTTGACCCAGCAATCCCAATACTAGGTATATATTCAAAAGAAAATAAATCAGTCTACCAAAAAGACACATACACCTATGTTCATCGCAGCACTATTCACAATAGCAAAGACAGGGAATCAACCCAGGTACCCATTAACAGTTGACTGGATAAAGAAAATGTGCTACATATACACCCTGGAGTAGTACACAGCCATAAAAAGAAGGAAATCATGTCCTTTGCAGCAACATGGATGTAGCTAGAGATAATTATCTTAAGTGAATTAATGCAGGAAAAGAAAACAAATAGTACATGTTCTTATTTATAAGTGAGACCTAATCACTGGGTACTCATGGACATAAAGATGTCAACAGTAGACACTGCAGACTACTAGAGGTGGGAAAGGGTTGAAAAACTAACAACTGGGCATAGTACTATGAGTATACTACAATGCTCATTACCTGGGTGATGTGATCATTCATATCTCAAACCTCAGCATCATGAAATAGACCCATGTGACAAACCTGCACATGTACCCGCAAATCTAAAATAAGCTGAAATTACTAAAAAAAAACCAAAAATTTAAAATAAATAAAACTCTCCTCCTAGGAATATTCATTTACATGCAGATAAAGCATTTATTATCAGTTTTATCTAATATGAAAGTGGGCTTGAATGGTGTTTGAGCTCTGAGAACAGACAGACTGCCTCCTCACATGGGTCCCTGACCCCTGAGTAGCCTAAGTGGGAGACACATTAGGGGCCGACTGACACCTCATACAGCCAGGTGCCCCTCTGAGATGAAGCTTCCAGAGAAAGGATCAGGCAGCAACATTTGCTGTTCTGCAATATTTGCTGTTCTGCAGCCTCTGCTGGTGATACCCAGGCAAATAGGGTCTGGAGTGGACCTCCAACAAACTCCAACAGACCTGCAGCTGAGGGACCTGACTGTTAGAAGGAAAACTAACAAACAGAAAGGAATAGCATCAACAACAACAAAAAGGACATCCACACCAAAACCCCATCTGTAGGTCACCATCATCAAAGACCAAAGGTAGATAAAACCACAAAGATGAGGAGAAACCAGAGCAGAAAAGCTGAAAATTCTGAAAACCAGAGCGCCTCTTCTCCGCCAAAGGATCTCAGCTCCTCGCCAGCAATGGAACAAAGCTGGATGGAGAATGACTTTGACGAGTTGACAGAGGAGGCTTCAGAAGACTGGTAATAACAAAATTATCCAAGCTAAAGGAGGATGTTCGAACCCATCACGAGGAAGCTTAAAACCTTGAAAAAAGATTAGACGAATGGCTAACTAGAATAAACAGCATAGAGAAGACCTTAAATAACCTGATGGAGCTGAAAACCATGGCACAGGAACTACGTGACACATGCACAAGCTCCAGTAGCTGATTCGTCAAGTGGAAGAAAGGGTATCAGTGATTGAACATCAAATTAATGAAATGAAGCGAGAAGAGAAGTTTGGAGAAAGTAAAAATAAGCAAACAAAGCCTCCAAGAAATATGGGACTATGTGAAGAGACCAAATCTACGTTTGATTGGTGTACCTGAAAATGATGGGGAGAATGGAACCAAGTTGGAAAACACTCTTCACGATATTATACAGGAGAACGTCCCCAACCTAGCAAGGCAGGCCGACTTTCAAATTCAGGAAATACAGAGAACACCACAAAGATACTCCTCAAGAAAAGCAACCCCAAGACACATAATTATCAGATTCACCAAGGTTAAAATGAAGGAAAAAATGTTAAGGGCAGCCAGAGAGAAGGGTCAGGATACCCACAAAAGGAAGCCCATCAGACTAACAGCAGATCTCTCGGCAAAAACTCTACAAGCAAGAAGACAGTCGGGGTCCATATTCAACATTGTTAAAGAAAAGAATTTTCAACCCAGAATTTCATATCCAGCCAAACTAAGCTTCATAAGTGAAGGAGAAATAAAATCCTTTACAGACAAGCAAATGCTGATAGATTCTGTCACCACCAGGCCTGCCTTACAAGAGCTCCCAAAGGAAGCACTAAACATTGAAACGAACAATCGGTACCAGCCACTGCAAAAAGATGCCAAATTGTAAGGACCATCGATGCTAGCAAGAAACTGCATCAACTAACAAGCAAAATAACCAGCTAACATCATCATGACAGGATCTAATTCACACATAACAATATTAACCTTAAAAGTAAATGGGCTAAATGACCCAATTAAAAGACACAGAATGGCAAACTGGATAAAGAGTCAAGACCCATCAGTGTGCTGTATTCAGGAGACCCATCTCATGTGCAGAGACACACATAGGCTCAAAATAAAGGGATGGAGGAACAGCTACCAAGCAAATGCAAAACGAAAACAAAGCAAGGTTTGCAATCCTAGTCTCTGATAAAACAGACTTTAAACCAACGAAGAGCAAAAGCAACAAAGAAGGCCATTACATAATGGTAAAGGGATCAATTCAACAAGAAGAGCTAACTATCCTAAATATATATGCACCCAATACAGGAGTACCCAGATTCATAAAGCAAGTCCTTAGAGACCTACAAAGAGACTTACACTCCCACACAATAATAATGGGAGACTTTAACACCCCACTGTCAACATTAGACACACCAACAAGACAGAAAGTTAACAAGGATATCCAGGACTTGAACTCAGCTCTGCACCAAGCAGACATAATAGACATCTACAGAACTTTCCACACCAAATCAACAGAATATACATTCTTCTCAGCACCACATCACACCTATTCCAAAACTGACCACATAGTTGGAAGTAAAGCACTCCTCAGCAAATGTAAAAGAACAGAAATCATAACAAACTGTCTCTCAGATGACATGCAATCAAATTAGAACTCAGGATTAAGAAACTCACTCACAACTGTACAACTACATGGAAACTGAACAACCTGCTCCTGAATGACTACTGGGTACATAACGAAATGAAGGCAGAAATAAAGATGTTCTTTGAAACCAATGAGAACAAACACACAACATACCAGAATCTCTGAGACACATTTAAAGCACTGTGTAGAGGGAAGTTTATAGCACTAAATGCCCACAAGAGAAAGCAGGAAAGATCTAAAACTGACACCCTAACAACACAATTAAAAGAACTAGAGAAGCAAGAGCAAACACATTCAAAAGCTAGCAGAAGGCAAGAAATAACTAAGATCAGAGCAGAACTAAAGGAGATAGACACAAAAAACCCTTCAAAAAAATCAATGAATCCAGGAGCTGGTTTTTTGAAAAGATCAACAAAATTGATAGACCACTAGCAAGACTAATAAAGAAGAAAAGAGAGAAGAATCAAATAGACACAATAAAAAATGATAAAGGGAATATCACCACCGATCCCACAGAAATACAAACTACCATCAGAGAATACTATAAACACCTCTATGCAAATAAACTAGAAAATCTAGAAGGAATGGATAAATTCCTGGACACATAGGCCCTCCCAAGATTAAACCAGAAAGAAGTTGAATCTCTGAATAGACCCATAACAGGCTCTGAAATTGAGGCAGAAATTAATAGGCTACCAACCAAAAAAAGTCCAGAACCAGACGGATTCACAGCCGAATTCTACCAGAGATACAAGGAAGAGCTGGTACCATTCCTTCTGAAACTATTCCAATCAATAGAAAAAGAGGGAATCCTCCCTAACTCATTTTATGAGGCCAGCATCATCCTGATACCAAAGCCTGGCAGAGACACAACAAAAAAAGAGAATTTTAGACCAATATCCCTGATAAACATCAATGCAAAAATCCTCCATAAAATACTGGCAAACCGAATCCAGCAGCACATTAGAAAGCTTATCCACCATGATCAAGATGCCTTCATCCCTGGGATGCAAGGCTGGTTCAATATATGCAAATCAATAAACATAATCCATCACATAAACAGAACCAAAGACAAAAACCACATGATTATCTCAACAGATGCAGAAAAGGCCTTTGACAAAATTCAAGAGCCCTTCATGCTAAAAACTCTCAATAAACTAGGTATTGATGAGATGTATCTCAAAATAATTAGAGCTATTTATGACAAACCCACAGCCAATATCATACTGAATGGGCAAAAACTGGAAGCATTCCCTTTGAAAACTGGCACGAGACAGGGATGCCCTCTCTCACCACTCCTATTCGACAACATAGTGTTGGAAGTTCTGGCCAGGGCAATCAGGCAGGAGAAAGAAATAAAGGGTATTCAATTAGGAAAAGAGGAAGTCAAATTGTCCCTGTTTGCAGATGACATGATTGTATATCTAGAAAACCCCATCGTCTCAGCCCAAAATCTCCTTAGGCTGATAAGCAACTTCAGCAAAGTCTCAGGATACAAAATCAATGTGCAAAAATCACAAGCATTGTTATACACCAATAACACATAAACAGAGAGCCAAGTCATGAGTGAACTCCCAATCACAATTGCTTCAAAGAGAATAAAATACCTAGGAATACAATTTACAAGGGATGTGAAGGACCTCTTCAAGGAGAACTACAAACCACTGCTCAACGAAATAAAAGAGGATACAAACAAATGGAAGAACATTCCATGCTCATGGATAGGAAGAATCGATATCGTGAAAATGGCCATACTGCCCAAGGTAATTTATAGATTCAATGCCATCCCCATCAAGCTACCAATGACTTTCTTCACGGAATTGGAGAAAACTACTTTAAAGTTCATATGGAACCAAAAAAGAGCCCACATTGCCAAGATAATCCTAAGCAAAAAGAACAAAGCTCAAGACATCACACTACCTGACTTCAAATTATACTACAAGGCTACAGTAACCAAAACAGCATGGTACTGGTACCAAAATAGAGACATAGACCAATGGAACAGAACAGAGCCCTCAGAAATAATATCACATATCTACAACCATCTGATCTTTGACAAACCTAACAAAAACAAGAAATGGGGAAAAGATTCCCTATTCAATAAATGGTGCTGGGAAAACTGGCTAGCCATATATAGAAAGCTGAAACTGGATCCCTTCCTTACACCTTATACAAAAATTAATTCAAGATGGATTAAAGACTTAAATGTTAGACCTAAAACCATAAAAACCCTGGAAGAAAACCTAGGCAATACCATTCAGGACATAGGCATGGGCAAGGACTTCATGAGTAAAACACCAAAAGCAATGGCAACGAAAGCCAAAATAGAAAAATAGGATCTAATTAAACTAAAGAGCTTCTGCACAGCAAAAGAAACTTCCATCAGAGTGAACAGGCAACCTACAGAATGGGAGAAAATTTTTGCAATCTACCCATCTGACAAAGGGCTAATATCTAGAATCTACAAAGAACTTAAACAAATTTACAAGAAAAAAATCAAACAACCCCGTCAAAAAGTGGGCGATGGATATAAACAGACACTTCTCAAAAGAAGACATTTATGCAGCCAACAGACACATGAAAAAATGCTCATCATCACTGGCCATCAGAGAAATGCAAATCAAAACCACAATGAGATACCATCTCACACCAGTTAGAATGGCGATCATTAAAAAGTCAGGAAACAACAGGTGCTGGAGAGGATGTGGAGAAATAGGAACACTTGTACACTGTTGGTGGGACTGTAAACTAGTTCAACCATTGTGGAAGACAGTGTAGTGATTCCTCAAGGATCTAGAACTAGAAATACTGTTTGACCCAGCCATCCCATTACTGGGTATATTCCCAATGGATTATAAATCATGCTACTATAAAGACACATGCTCAAGTATGTTTATTGCAGCACTATTCACTATAGCAAAGACTTGGAAGCAACCCAAATGTCCATCAATCATAGACTGGTTTAAGAAAATGTGGCACATATACACCATGGAATACTATGCAGCCATATAAAAGGATGAGTTCGTGTCCTTTGTAGGGACCTCTATGAAGCTGGAAACCATCATTCTGAGCAGACTATCACAAGGACAGAAAACCAAACACCGCATATTCTCACTCATAGGTGGGTATTGGAAAATAAGAACACTTGGAGACAGGTTGGGGAACATCACACAACAGGGCCTGTCGGGTGGGGTTGGGGGGAGTGATAGCATTTGGATAAATACCTAATGTAAATGACTAGTTAATGAGTGCAGCAAACCAACATGGCACATGTATACCTATGTAACAAACCTGCACATTGTGCACACGTACCCTAAAATTTAAAGTATAATAAAAATAAAATAAAAAAAAAGAAAGTGGGCTTGATAAGATTTTGACTTGGTAGAATTTTAACTACCGGCTATACAATTCTTGACTTAGGAAATTAAAGCCTTAAGTCTTCTGAAAAGCCCTTTAATTCAGTTATTTCATTAATTTTGATAGTTTTGCACCATCATCTGCTGAGAAACCTATCCTAGATTGTAAGAAGTTTGAGAGTGAAGACTGCCTTATACATCTTTTTTTTTTTTTACTTTAGCACATCTTGCACAAAGTATTCATTCATTCAAGAAATATTAATCAGCTCTATGCCTGGCCCTGGGAATACAGTGGTAAATATGAGACAGCTACAGCTTATGGCTTCATGGGTGATATATTTAGTAGACAACAGGACAATATTAAATAAGAAAAATAACTTAGGCTACAAGAATTCCAGAGAGATGTGAGGGCATCTACTTTAGTCTGGGAGTCAGCCGTACTCTCCTGTGGAGAGAAGGTTAGTGGAAATTTGAAGCAATTGGTCTGGGGAAATGGTTGCAGAAGACTCACTTCAGGCAGAAAGAATGTGTGTGCTTAGGAACACATGAGCAAGAGCCTGGAGACTGGGAAAAACTGAAAGGATCTCATAATGTACAATGCAGGAAAGAGAATGGCCAAAAATATTCTATAAGTTTCCTCTAAACTAACAAGTATTTTACCCTATCAGTCATGAAACACTTCTTGGATGCAGCTCATGGCATAAGCAGCCCTGTCTGTTCTCTCCAAGTCCAGGACAGCTTAGGTCTAACCCAGCTGTGCTGGCCACATACATCTCAGACCCCCTACTTCATGGAGGACAGATGTTATTGATCACCGGCCATAACTTCGAAGCCACCTACTGCATATTTGCACTGAAGCCATTCTTCCCAGTGGCTCTTAGCCAGTGACTGGGCACAGCACAGACACTCAGACAGACTCATTCCTGGGATATGAGAGCTCTTCTAATGAGCAGCTTTAGCTGAAAGATCCCTCTTCGGCCTTGCAGAAGAGCACAGTAGTCTAGACTCTTCCTACACAGCCTTCCTTCCTTTCCCCTCTTCTCACAGGGTGAGACCTGCGGGCAGTTCCATGATTCCTTCTGCCTCCTCCAGCTCCTCCCCATTTTTCTTCACAGGCATTTCCCCCAGTAAAATGCTCACACATCTAATCCTGTCACAGCATCTGCTTCTCAGAGGACCCAAACTAACAATTCCAGACAACCACGTATCTTATCCTGTAGGGGGAGATGGCACAGTTACAGATATTTTTTTTCTGTTAGTTAGGCATAGACATGGAATCCCAAAGAGTATTTAATGAAGTTTTTTCTTAAAGTAGAAGAAATAATCATGGGCTGAGTGGTAGAGGATTTGTAATCAAAGAAATAGCAAGAGAGAAAGAGAGAGAAAAGAAGAAATAGGTGAAGGTGAAAGGGGGGAAATGAGAGGGAGGCTGTGGTTGGGGAGGCAAACTTCAAAGAATGTTGCTGGAAGAGGGGGAAGGAAAAATATAATGTGCTCACTAATTCTGTTGGAATAACAATCTCTTATTCTTGGAAGACCCAGTCTTCTCTTTAAGAACCAGGTTCCATCACTCTAATGGAAGGGTACTCATATAATCACAAGTCTAAGACAGACAGAGAAACTTTTAGCAAAATTACTTATAGAAGACAGGCTATATATATCATACAGATTTGTAAATTCCAAGAGTCTAACTTTGGGAGTTCAAAATATCTGATTTTTTTTTTTTGCAGGTATTTCTTTGGAGGCCAAGTCACATGGGAACCTCTTTGTCCACCTTCCCTCTCAGGGCCCAAATATCCCTCTCCAAAGATTCAGAAGCAAAATGGGAGGAAGTTGACAATGATGACAATCTATGCCTGACTTCAGCCCCAAGGAAGGTTTGACCTAGAGAGGTGTGAAGATGTCAAACCTACACTGTCCAATATGGTAGCCAGTAGCACATGTGACTCTTTACATTGACTTTTAAATGGACTACAATTAAATAAAATTTAAAAATCCATTTCACGGGCATACCAGCCACATTTCAAGTATGTCGTAGCTGCATGTAACTAATGGCTACTATACCGGAAAGCACACACAGAAAATGTTTCATCATCACATAAAATTCTGTTGAACAAATCTGTGTTGAATAACAACACACTTAGGACTGTGTTCAATCCTAAGTTGAACACAATCCTTAGGATCTTGCTGAATGGACAGAGCTGCAGTGGGAAAGGAGAAGAGTGAGGCTCTAGGAAAATCCTGCCCTCTAAAAAATGAAGGGCTCGTTCTATGGTTGGCCTCCATGCCATGACCAAAGATCATGGACAGGTTAAATCGATTAGGAAAGCACTTCTCACATATCTAACCTGCCCTGCCATGGGTTCAATTTACGTAGTACACTGGACAATGTAGCTTGAATCCTAAATTCAAATGTGTTAAATATTCTTAGTATTCCGTCTGTATACTAACAAAGAAAAAAATGTTAAGTGACTGTGCCACGCTCTCCTTCCAGAGCAGTGTTTCTTAATTTCAGCACTACTGACATTTTGGGCCAGATAAGTCTTTGCTGTGGGGGCTTGTCCCACGCACTGCAGGATGTTTGGCAGCACCCCTGGCCTCCACCCTCTAGATGCTGGGAGCACTCTCCACCTCCACCCCCATTGTAACAACTAAAAATGTTGCCAGACGTTACCCAGTGTACGCTGGAGGGAAAAATCACTCCAGGGTGAGGGCCACTGATCTAGAATATGATACATGGCATCTGTGATATGAGAAAATGACCTTGGGCCTGGTCGTAAAAGAATGTGCCACCTCCTCACCTGAAACACAACCAAGCAGTGGCCCGTGACTGACTTGGCAAAATAACACTTTGTTCAGAGGAAGCTCATAAAACAGTTTTGGCCGGGAGGATGAGCTAACCTCATAATAGGTACTTGAGAGAAGCCACCCCGCTAATGCATGCTGTGTACCATGATTAGGATTGACTTAACTAGGGTGAAGAAATCATATAATTTGCTGTGTCTACAGATATGTAAGTAATCCAAATGTGTGTTTCTTTTTTAAGTATCAAAGGATAATTCTAGAATAAAATTCATAGTCACAGTCATATTAAAAAACGTCCACATTTTCAAAAGTCTAACTACATTTTTCACTCTCCTCTAAAAATGGAGACACAACACTGTGTTCTAACCTGAAGATTTGCATACTCAATTCTAACTCAAAACTTTATCTGCTGACATCCGTGCTTCATAAATAATTCCCATGTGATAATTATGTATCTTGAGCAGAATTACCAATGCATTTGTCTTGAATGCTTAATATATTTAATGGGAAATGTCTCGGGAATTTTCAGTTCTGTCACTGCCAAGAGGAGGAAGTATTAACCATTCAGAATAAGATACTCACATTAGATTTTGTGCATTAAGAAAGTCACAACTGAGGCTGTAGGACTTAAATAGATGTTTCTCCAGAGAAACAATAGTCACTACTACACTCCCTTTCCTCCCTTAAAAGGCTGTCCATTCCTAAAGGGTAGGGACTATATGTTCTTCCAGTACCTCTACTAGTGTTCTGTGCATATTAGGCATTTAATACAATTTTTGTGCATGAACAGACAGACTCAGAACAAAGCCTCTGAGTATATTGCCATCCAGCTTGGATGAGGATATAAGTCTCTTAATCCCCAACTTATCTTGTTTTCTAACACAAGCAATATATGGGGAATTATGCTTAAGAGGCTGTGCCACTTTGTATTTAAAAACCCAACTCTGTTTTTTAGACTCCTTGTTCCTTAAGTTGGTTATGTGTTAGGTGACCTTGCTAGTTCCCTAATTTTTCCAAGTTTCCATTTTCTCACCAATAAATCGAGACTAATTAATAATGACACATTAATTTGAGGTCTAAATGAGAAAATCTACACAAGGCTTTTAGCACACTGCCTGACACATAGAAAGTGTTTTCTAAATGCTAGCTATTATTTTTATGGCATAATTCTGTCATAGATCCAAAAAGACTTTTTTATTTTTAAAAAATCATAGTCGCATTTTTTTAATTATTACTTTTCTTCTCTTTGAAGTCAATCCTCTCAACACAGCTTGAGAATTGCAATGAATTTGGGGATCTGAGAAACAATCTTTTCTAAATATTTGTATGTTATTTGGAAACAATTACAGTGGCAAAAGAGAACAAGAGGCTACCTTTTAGTATCAATCTATCTGTACACTTAAAAAAAAAAAAAAAAAGAAAAAAGCAGCCCATGACAAGTACATGCTGATTTTTAAGAAGAGGTGAGGTAAAAGTGGTACAGCTTTATTAAGTACAAGAACTTAACAATCCCTTTTATTAAACAGAACTTGAATTTGTATTACACTGAATTTATAGATCAATTTGAGGAGGATTGATATGGGTATGATATGGAGTCTTGTTATTTAATAATGTGGTTTCTCACTTAGGATTGTCTTATATCTTTCAATAATTTTAGAATTCTTTTTTAAAAGTTCTTGCATATCATTTCTCAGGTTTGCTTTAAACGGCTGTACAGATTTTTGAATGGGGTATTATTAATTGTTCGAATTGGTTAAAGCAAGAATGCTATTGTTTTTGTATATTGATCCTCTATCCAAAAAATGTACTGAATTCTCTAACTACTGCTAGTTTGCAGATTTTCCTGGATTTGCAAAGTTAAAAATCATATGCAAATAAATAATTTTGTATCTTCCATTTTACTTTTGTTATATTTTATTTCTCTTGCCTTATTTAGTTAACTAGAATGTCCAGTTAATATTAAATGTGGATAATGTCCAAGGGCATTGTTTGCTTATATTTTCCTTAAAAGGAATGCTTCTAATGTTTAACCATTAATATAATGTTAGCTATACATTTTTTTATTGACTAAGAAAGTTTATTTTTTCTTAATTCAAGACGGATTAAAGACTTAAATGTTAGACCTAAAACCATAAAAACCCTAGAAGAAAACCTAGGCAATACCATTCAGGACATAGGCATGGGCAAGGACTTCATGTCTAAAACACCAAAAGCAATGGCAACAAAAGCCAAAACAGACAAATGGGATCTAAATAACTAAAGAGCTTCTACATAGCAAAGAAACTACCATCAGAGTGAACAGGCAACCTACAGAATGGGAGAAAATTTTTGCAATCTACTCATCTGAAAAAGGGCTAATATCCAGAATCTACAAAGAACTTAAACAAATTTACAAGAAAAAAACAAACAACCCCATCAAAAATTAGGTGATGGATATGAACAGACACTTCTCAAAAGAAGACATTTATGCAGCCAACAGACACATGAAAAAATGCTCATCATCACTGGCCATCAGAGAAATGCAAATCAAAACCACAATGAGATACCATTTCACACCAGTTAGAATGGTGATCATTAAAAAGTCAGGAAACAACAGGTGCTGGAGAGGATATGGAGAAATAGGAACATTTGTACACTGTTGGTGGAACTGTAAACTAGTTCAACCATTGTGGAAGACAGTGTAGTGATTCCTCAAGGATCTAGAACTAGAAATAACATTTGACCCAGCCATCCCATTCCTGGGTATATACCCAAAGGATTATAAATCATGCTGCTATAAAGACACATGTACACGCATGTTTACTGCGGCACTATTCACAATAGCAAAGACTTGGAACCAATCCAAATGTCCATCAGTGATAGACTGGATTAAGAAAATGTGGCATATATACACCATGGAATACTATGCAGGCATAAAAATGATTAGTTCATGTCCTTTGTAGGGACATGGATGAAGCTGGAAAGCATCATTCTCAGCAAACTATCACAAGGAAAAAAACCAAACACCGCATGTTCTCACTCAAAGGAATTGAACAATGAGAACACTTGGAGACAGGTTGGGGAACATCACACACTGGGGCCTGTCATGGGGTGGGGGAGGAGGGGAGGGATAGCATTGGAAGATATACCTAATGTAAATGACGAGTTAATGGGTGCAGCACACCAACATGGCACATGTATTCATATGTAACAAACCTGCACATTGTGCACTTGTACCCTAGAACTTAAAGTATAATTTTAAAAAATGAAAGTTTATTTTTTCTAGTGCGACTTCCATCACATCATTCAGTTCCTTATTAAAAATGTTAAAAATATTACTAAAGTACAGATATCTGAGTACTTGTACACAAACTTTTAAATGACAGTTTCAGTTTAATAGTAGAACAAAAGATAAAATGATAGAAGAGAAAGTAGAAGAGATAGAGATGGCTACCTTAATTGCCAAAAGAATATTTTGTTTATGTTGCTTTTCTAAAGGTTAGCTTGGACCAATGTTCCTCACTGAGTCATTCCAGGGTGATGAGTAGAAGTTCTCCAGGGATTGGGAGCTGGGCCTGTGGTACCATTTTGCTATTTTCGGTGCTGTGAGACCGTAGTGGTCCTAACATGTGGCAGTATACAATGGATTTCTGGCTTGGATTGGCTGTTTTCTTGGCTTTGTTTCCACTTGCAGCATGGGATTATCCACTAGAGGTTGGTAAATAAGTCTGCTTATCAAAAGATACAAAAAAATATATTTAATAAGTGATCTCCCATGATTCTTTCCTTCCCATTTGGCCCTAACCGCCATATTGTTTCTTAAGTGTGGGCCATGCTCACACCTGCTTTCGCCACTCCTGTCTAGCAAGCCCCAGAGTGCTGCAGCCTGACCTATACGTTGCAACTTTAGTTCCCTTCTCACATTCAGCCTCAAATGGATCCATAGGGCTTCCTAGAAGTTCCTTTATTTATCACTTTATCATTTCCTAGCATGCTTTCATCATTGCCATTCCAGGCATTCTTGTCTTCTGGAGCCCCCAGCACCCCTGTACCCTCCAGCCTCAGAGGACTTAGTGCATGAGGTCATGAAGATGGTGGCAATCAGCCTTGTCCACAATTCAACACTTGTAGGAGGAGTGGCCCTTCTTGATGCTTGCCTTAGGGGTAAAATCAACCTCCACACTGACTCCTAGGAAGAATGAATTCCTCCAAAATCCTTCAAATAGAGAATTATTTCAAGAAAGGCTAGACCTTCTGGGAGCACTTAACATAACAGGAAATCCTCCCATTATCATTTGCAAAGACACTGGCTTCTAGAATTGAGGGGCAAAGTGAGATTTCAATGAGCAGTTCCAGGTGCCATTGAGTTGCCTCACTCTCTCTTCAGAGCATATCAGGTAGTATCCTAGGAGTCGCTCTTCTTTGAAAAAGAAATTACTGATGCAATATTTGTTTATGATAAAAATTTTAACATAGAAAAGTATAAAGAAGATATAATCAATAGCAGGTCATATTAATAGGTTTATTGAATGCTCACTATATGTCAGGTTCTGTGCTAAGCACCTTATAAGCATTATCTTTTTTTTTTTTTTTTTTTTTTTTTTTGAGGCCGAGTCTCACTCTCAAGTTACCCAGCCTGGAGTTCAGTGGCAGGATCTCAGCTCACTGCAACCTCCACCTCCCGGGTTCAAGCGATTCTCCTGCCTCAGCCTTCCAAGTTAGCTGGGATTATAGGCGCCTGCCACCATGCCCAGCTAATTTTTGTATTTTGAGTACAGATGGGGTTTCACCATGTTGGCCAGGCTGGTATCGAACTCCTGACTTCAGGTGATGCACCCACCTCAACCTCCCAAAGTGCTGGGATTACAGGCGTGAGCCACTGTGCCCGGCCCTATAAGCATTATCTTATCTTCAAAACAAGCCAGATAAAAACAGCCACTAATATTGGTATAATTCCCTTCAGTCTTTTTTTTTAAATAGATTTTGTTAGGACATTTCAAATTTACAAAAATAAAAAATTGAAAAGCTTGTACAGAGAGTTCTCTCATACCCTACTTCCAAGCTCCCCTCTTATTACCATGTTACACTAGCATGAAATATTTGTTACCATTAATGAATCAACGCTGATACATTATGATTAACTATGATCCACAGTTCATTTAGACTTCCTTAGTTTTTGCCAATGTCCTTTTTCTGTTCCAGGATCCTCTTCAGGATCCCACATTAGATTTCTCATCATGTCTCCTTAGGCTCTTCTCAGCTATGGGTTTTTCAGACTTTCCTTGCTGTTCATAACCTTGACAGTTTAGAGGAGTGTTGGTGAGGTTTAGTGAAGGATGCCCCTAGATTAGAATTTGCCAGGCTTTTCTCATAAGATGGGGGAAAGAATTTTTTTAAATTCTGATTAATTGAAGCTGAATTATAATAATTCTTTTTCTGCTAGTGACACAAACATCCAGTCTTTCTCTTTGCTTTTGCTGTTGAAGTCCATTACCAGATTTCAAATGTTACATTGTCTAGATTCCTGAGAAAAAAACCAACTTCATCACAATGTATTTGTTAAACCAGCCCATAAGTTTCCTTTCTCCTATTATCCTTGTCCAGTTTTGTTATTGTCTTCAGTCATGTTTCCCAGGAAGCAAACTCTGGGGCAGACATGTAAGTGCAGGAAGTTTATTCCGGAAGCTAAGTTCAGTAACAATCCCTATCAGAGCAAGGGCAGAGGGTAGAGTTAAACTGTGATGTAGGTGCAGTGGAAGCCTCAGTGATAGAACTAGGATGGTCTTTCAAAGTTGTCTCAAACTGATTCAAGGGGACCAGGCCCTTGTGCCATTACATCTACCAGTAATTGGAAGTTGGCTCTTCCCGGGAAAAGAATGTAATTTTGGACAAGGCAGGTCCTTCCAGCAAAAGGCAATTCCTGGAAAGAGACTCAGCTGTGCATGGCCAGCAGCCACCATTCCCAGCAGCTGGCGGAATGTATGCCCTGTTCGTAAAAGGTAGATCTAGGCAATTTGCCACAGCATCAACTACAGTAACCAAGAATACTGTTTTCTCAAAACCAGAATTGAGGAAGTTTTTCTTTGGTAGAGTCAAACAATTTGCAGAAGCTAGAAGTTACCTATTCTTTTGACTGTGTGATAAAACTCAACTTAAAAATGGTCTGGGCCATGAGTTGCAGGGGGCTGGGAGTAGTCAGAAGTGAGGATGGATAGATGTTTGACTCCTAAATCAAGTTCTTTGACAGCTTCATAAATCGTTTTTCTTTACTCATGTCATATTGGTAACCTAAATTTTTTTCTAGAAAAAGAGTCAACTTTACATAAGTTTTCAGATTTGTTAGCATCAAAGTATAATTACCCTTCCAATATTTTAAGTCACTATTTCATATTTAATTATACCCCGTTTTCTCTGTGCCTTCTGTCTTTGTTTCTAAGTCTTGCCAGATGTTTGTTCTCCTTCTCCACTTTATTGTTTTCACCTTTTCAAACAACTGGACTTTGTTTTTGTTTACCATCTTTTTTGTTTGTTTTCTGTTTAACTAATGTTTGCCCTTTATTAGTTTCTTCTTTTAACTTTCTTAGGGAATAAACTTCTTTTTCTAGATTGAGTTGAGTTCTGGGCTCACTACTTTTCTGTTTTCTTTTTGAATAGATATATTTATGGCTACAAAGTTCACCCTGGAGTATTGATCTAGCTGCATTGCATATGTTTTGATTAACCAATTTCCATCCTGATCTTTTTTTCTATTAAAAAAAAAAAACCCACCCAAAATGTTAGATGAGCATACGCTTTCCAACTAAGGATAATATTTCTCAGCCTCTCTTGCAGCTAGGGTGGCCATATGCTGAGCATACACGGAGGCCAGAGCCACCCAGGTGTTTGTTCCAGAAATTTCTGAGGATGAGGTCTAATTTGCAATCAGTAATGTGTTACAGAAACTCCAAGGTGGTCAGCCCCACAGTCTGCCTAGTCAGCTTTGAAACATACTTGTCAGGCCAGAAAAAGGTACTGGCTAGATTCTACAACTGCAGCAAGGAAGGCTGGAGAATGGAGACTGTCACCTGGAAGTCATTTACCTGTCTAGCTAAAATTTGGAGAATCCATTATTGAAAAGGTAAAGGAAGAATGGATACTGGGAAACTATTAGCACTATCCACCATAACTACACCAACACACAAGGGATACAATCAAGTAATTTTGCTTTGGGTAGTAGAGATGTGACCAGAAGTCATACAGGTATCCTTTAGTTTGCATCTTTAAAGAAAATGAACCCGCCCTCTTCTTCCTTTGTTCTCATTCCCTACTGGCTGGAAGTCAGCATGATGGCAGGAGCTGGAAATCATCAGATCATGACATGAAAGGAGCATAGTGAAGATTGTAGAACAAACAGCTAAGAGGCTCTGAGAAAGACAGGATCTAGTTAGAGTCCTCCTGGAGAGCTTCTCTAGACTTTCCCAGCCTGAGAAATAGGTGTCAAGCATGACCAAGATTAATCTTAGGGGCTGGTGAGGATGGAGTTCCATCAAAAAGGAAGTGAGGGAACAAGGTAGAGATGGTAGACAAAGCAAACTCAAGACATACTTGCAGTGTTCTATTTTATTTTCATAAAATAATGTATTTAATTGCTTACAAAATAAACATTGATTTTCAATACCTAAAATAAATCAAAACAGAAAGACTTGAAAACAGGAAGGTACTCCAAAGTCCACCTGACAAACTTTGGTTACACAAGAGGAAAACACAGCATCCTAGCTTCTGGCATAATGTTGCAAGATGACGTTTGAGGGTGCTGACACTCTATCAAAACATTTAAGAGCTACGATATACCTGAACAGATCTTGTCCCATCTCTTTCCAGCTTTGAAACCTTAGGGAGGCCTCTATTTTTCTCCAACCCATAAGGCTATTCTGAGGTCTTAATGATATCATAACTATAAAGTACTTTATTGTGCCTGGCACGCAGTGCATACTCAATTAGTGATGGCAATTATTATTTCCAGTATGTTTTAGCACTTTCCCAACTCTAGAACCCTCTCTTTGCCATTTTCTCAAACTCCTTAGCTTTTCTTTTTTCCCCTCTTGACACAGAAAGGATTGACCTATAAGTGCCACAGAATTCTATCACTGTCAGAAGGTTTATTAAGTTCAAGGATTCAGCGTCTATAAAAATAAATCAGTACCCTGTTTTATGGGAGCTCAGGGCTCAAAATTCTATAAAACAGGTTTACATTTAATGACAAGTACCTATGCCATGAACATGTCAGTGTTAATATTTCTGTGGCAAATTGCACTAAACAATAAGGTATTTCAGACAAATAACCTGATGTCATGCAGGAGGTAAAAGCTTTCTTTACTTACTAATTCTTAGCTCCAAATGCCCTTTGTGCCTTTTGGCTCACTATTAGATCAGAGTAGTTATTATTACTGAAACATAAGGTTAACATTTCCATCATCACTGGGGTTACAATTTGCATACTTCTGCATAATTCTTGTGCGCAGCTGCTGCTATGCTTCATCTTTCATCTTGGTTTGTACAGTTCATCTGGAATTTCTTAAAACTGGACTATTCACAATAACAGTCTTGAAAGAACTTCAGTGGGAATGTTGAGTTCAACATTTTAGCGGCATCCTTAACTTAAATAAAAAAGCTTCAGAGCCTCTTGAAGACATGAACCGTTTTGACTAAAACGTTTAATATCGACCACATGGGCTAAATGATTGCAGAACAAATTTTTTATTGCATTATAAATCTGCTGGAAACAACAACAAAAAAAGGTCATCAATCTCTTCCTTACTTCTTGTTGGTTTTCAAAAATTACTCTCTTTGCCTTTCTTATTTCCCAAACTAAACTAGGGTATTCAATGTTGTCACAACTTTTATTTGTCAATAATTTTTTTTTCGTGAACTGTTGAAACTTGCAGGCTAGATGAGAGGAAATCACATAAAAACTCAAGCCATCTTTAAAAATCAAAAGTGCAATAAAAAGAAACTGGTCAACAGCTATTATGTGAAATGAAGGAAAGTCAAAAGAGAGTAGTTTAAAAGAAGACATGAATTGTAGCCTTGACTTTGGTTAACACTTGACATATTTCCATTAGCACATCATTTCATTTTTCAGCAGATGGGCCTCTTGGTTACAAGTTTCACAATCCAATCCAACCAGCAAAAGAACAAGTGAAAGAAATGGTAGGGCAGAGCCATTTACTGGCTCACATACAAGCATGGGGGTATATTTGGTTCAGCTGTGGCTAGATCTAGGCACCTAAAGGAAGAACATGTTCCCCCTTACCCCTATTCCTCAGCTCCTCTTTTTCTGTAGGTTGGCTTCACTTTCAGGCAGGCTTTTCAGATCCTATGGGAAGATAGTTACTAGCACTTCCAGTTTATGTCTATTGGTTTAGCTATCCCAGTGGAAAGAGAGCAACCCATTCCCAATAGTTTCCATAAAAGACCCATGGTCTTTGGAAAATCCCTTTAGATCTCAGACTCAAATTCAAATCAATGCAAAATTCAAATTGGCCAGGTTTCGGGTACATGCACCACATATTATATGAACTACAATTTGGGAGGGGGTGTTTGCCTGAAGGAAAATCAGAGTAATGTTACAAGAAAAAGTGGGGAATGAATAATAAATGATGGACAGGCAAAAGAAATTTACTTTCACTCCAACATCTCTTGGATCTCAAAGTACTCAATGAAATGCAGAACTTGGAGTTGATGATGTGAAGCTTTTTACTCTAAGATTCAAACTACAATACCTTTAAGAAACTTCTGAGAAAGAAAATTGAAACCCAATATTTATTCTCCTCCTCTATCTTTACTGAAAGAATCCCCTAACCTATGATAGATGCATAGCTGCCCAGCAAAAGACTATTATTCCCAAGCTCCCATGTAGCTAAGTGTGGCCAAATGACTGATGTGGTAGGCTGAATTATGACGTCTGTATTAGTCTGCTCTCATGCTGCTAATAAAGACGTACCCGAGACTGGGTAATTTATAAAGGAAAAAGGTTTAACTGACTCACAGTTCTGCATGGCTGGGGAGGCCTCAGGAAACTTACGATCATGGCAGAAGGGGAGGCAAACATGTCCTTCACAGGGTGGCAGGAAGGAGAAGTGCTGAGCAAAAGGAGGAAAAGCGCCTTATAAAACTAAACTGTCAGATCTCATGAGAACTCACTCACTATCATGAGAACAGCATAAGAGTAACTACCCTTATGATTGATTAAATTACCTCCCACTGGGTCCCTCCCATGACATGTGGGGATTATGGGAACTATAATTCAAGATGAAATTTGGGTAGGGACACAGCCAAACTGTATCAGCCTCCAAAGATAGCCAGGTCTTAATCCTTGGAAGCTAAGAATGTTACCTTATAAGGTAACAGGGGCTTTGCAGGTGCAATTGCGTTAAGGATCTTGAGATGGGAAAATTATTCTGGCTTATCCAGGGAGGCATTAACTGTAACCACAAATGCCCTTATAAGAAGGAAGCAGAGGAACAGTACATACAGCAGAGGAGAAGGCAATGTGACCACCAATGTGGAGACTGGAGCGATGCAGAATGCAATAGCTACCAGAAGCTGGAAGAGGCAAAGAGGGGGTTCCCTTCCACAGTCTCCAGAAGGAGCACAGCCTTGCTGACACCTTGAGTTCAATCCCTAAAAAAGTGAACTGTGAATGAATAAACTTCTGTTGCTTTAAGCCACTAAATTTATGGTAGTTTGTTACAGCAGCCATAGGAAACTAATACAAATTAGCATGAGTTTTGGCAAATAAAATATTAGAAGAAAGGAGGTACCCAACTACAAGCTCATGCCCTTCAAGGGAAAGGCAATAGCCTCCCTTCCTCTCTCTCCCTTTTATTCAGTGGGCTAGAAGGCAGACATGGTGGTGAGCTATCTTGGACCACCACCCATTATGTGAATAATGGCAGAGCAGCAAGATAGAAGGAAACCAGATCCCCAGTATTCAGCTTGAGCTTCCAGTTTGAGAAATAAATAAAATCCTCTCTTGCTTAAGCCACAGTATTTTGGGGTCTCTTATGACGGCTAATCTATATCCTAATGAAATCACCATTTTTGACTGCCATGAGATACTCCTTGCAGACTTCAACTACAAGGAGTATAATTCACCAATAGTCAGTGGCCACAATCTGAAATCCCCCACCATGTCTGCACCCAGCCCATGCTTTCACAAGCTGCTCCTGGATAGTGACTGGGCATGGTAGAGATACTAAAGCAGTCCTATTCCTGGGAGACGTGGTACTCCTATAACAGGCATCTTTGGCTCAAAGATTTCCCCAATGTCCTTGCCAAAACTTCATTAGACAGCATGACAGTCTAAGAAACTTAGACCCAACCTTTCTTCCTTCTGCAGTCACTCAGGGCAGATTTATTTTACTCTCTGATGGCTCTCCCAACCTTACCAGCTCCTGCCCCATTTTCCCTCACAGATGATTCTGCTAATTAAATCCTTGCTCATTTAATTTCACCTTGGCATCTGCTTCTCAGATTAGCATACCACCTTTTCTGAGAAATTCAAGAAAAATAGGTCTTCTGCAAAAGTAAGAAAACACAATAATTTTATTGAGCAGTAAAAACAACCTGCTGTAAACATAATTTGTAAATACCCAAAGTACCTCTCTGTGAAACGAAGAAAGAAGGCTTGACCATCTTATAGAACTTCACTTTCCCCAAACAACCTCTTGGTTACTTCCAAATTCCCCTCTGCAACTTGAAAATAAATTAGGAGTGCAATAAAGTTTTCTCTCAACATTTAGCAAATTGTATGTTATTGGCTATTCTGAACAACTGAATTAAAAGTAAAATCCCATCAATTACCCAATTGCTTATTTAAATATCAAACATGTAGTCGATTGATGATAAACAGGTAAACATTCAGAATGATCAAATTTTTTTCATTAATCTTTGACCTGATTTAACATAGTGTAGATGGAATCCATTAGCTCTGCATCTCCACGTGTTTGCATGTTTTCATCTTGGTGAGTGCTAATCTGTCACCCTGGATGTGCAGATGTCCACACAATGTGAAGACTTGCTTGACTCTCCTGATTAGAAGTTACTGCTCTGTTCCACTATAGTCTACTATTTGCATCATTAGTCATAACTTATTTCTTTTATATATATATATATATATATATATATATATATATATATATATATATTCTTTAAGTTCTGGGATACATGTGCAGAACATGCAGGTTTATTACACAGGTATACACGTGCCATGGCGGTTTGCGGCTCCCATCAACCTGTCATCTACATTAGGTATTTCTCCTAATGCTATGCCTCCCCTAGCTCCCCACCTCCTGACAGGCCCTGGTGTGTGATGTTCCCCTCCTGTGGCCTTGTGTTCTCATTGTTCAACTCCCACTTATGAATGAGAACATGTGGTGTTTGGTTTGTTCTTGTGTTAATTTGCTGAGAATGATGGTTTCCAGCTTCATCCATGGCCCTGCAAAGGACATGAACTCATCCTTTTTATGGCTGCATAGCATTCCATGGTGTATATGTGCCACATTTTCTTTATCCTGTCTAACATTGATGGGCATTTGGGTTGGTTCCAAGTCTTTGCTATTGTGAATAGTGCTGCAATAAACTTATGTGTGCATGTGTCTTTATAGTAGAATGAATGATTTATAATCATTTGGATATATACCCAGTAATGGGATTGCTAGGTCAAATGGTGTTTCTGGTTCTAGATCCTTGAGGAATTGCCACACTGTCTTCCACAATGGTTGAGCTAACAACATTGTAAAAGCATTCCTATTTCTCCACATCCTCTCTCCAGCATCTGTAGTTTCCTGACTTTTTAATGATCGCCATTCTAACTGGCGTGAGATGGTATCTCATTGTGGTTTTGATTTGCATTTCTCTAATGACCAGTGATGTTGGGCTTTTTTTTCTCATATGTTTGTTGGCTGCATAAATCATTCATTCTACTATAAAGACACATGCACACATATGTTTATTGCAGCACTATTCACAGTAGCAAAGGCTTGGAACCAACCCAAATGCCCATCAATGTTAGACAGGATAAAGAAAATGTGGCACATATACACCATGGAATGCTATGCAGCCATAAAAAGGATGAGTTCATGTCCTTTGCAGGGCCATGGATGAAGCTGGAAACCATCATTCTCAGCAAATTAACACAAGAACAAACCAAATACCGCACGTTCTCACTCATAAGTGGGAGTTGAACAATGAGAACACAAGGCCACAGACACTTTTGAGAAGTGTCTGTTCATATCGTTTGCCCAATTTTTGATGGAGTTGTTTGTTTTTTTTTCTTGTAAATTTGTTTAAATTCTTTGTAGATTCTGGATATTAGCCTTTTGTCAGATGGACAGATTGCAAAAATTTTCTCTCATTCTGTAGGTTGCCTGTTCACTCTGATGATAGTTTCTTTGGCTGTGCAGAAGCTCTTTAGTTTAATTAGATCCCATTTGTCAATTTTGTCTTTTGTTGCCATCGTTTTTGGTGTTTTAGTCATGAAGTCTTTGCCCATGCCTATGTCCTGAATGGTATTGCCCAGGTTTTCTTCCAGGGTTTTTATGGCGTTAGGTCTTACGTTTAAGTCATTTATGTCATCTGCCTCAATGTCCTTGACAATCATTTGAGCGTGTGATTCCTACATTCCATGACATGAAAAACAATTGAGAGTCTAGAAACTTATATGTATAATTAGTTGATTTTCAACAAGAGGGCCCGAAAACTCAATGGAGAAAAAAACAGTATTTTCAACAAATAGTACTTTAAATGGACAACTTGGATATCAAATGGACAACTTGATATCCACATGCAATAGGATAAAGTTGGATCTTTTTCTCACACCATACACATAAATTAAAATTGATCACAGATTAAATATAAGAGATGACACTATAAAACTATTAGGAGAACCTTCAAGATCTTAGGTTGGGCAATATTGTCTTATATATAAAACATGAAAATACAAGTGACAAAAGAAAATAGATAAGTGGGATTTCAAAATTAAAAACTTTTGTGCTTCAAAGAGCACCACTGAAGAAGTAAAAGGACAATCCACAAAATGATAGCAAATATTTACAAATCATATAGCTGATAAAGAACTTGTATCTGTATTACATTAAAAACTATTATAATACACAATAAAATGACAACTCAAATTTAAAAATGTGTAAAGGATCTGAACAGACATTTCTCCAAAGAGAAATATACAAATGAGGATATACAAATGACCAAAAAGCACTTGAAAAGATTCTGAACATGGTTAGCCATTATGGAAATGCAAATAAAAACCACAGTGAAATATGACTTCATATTCACTAAAATGCTTATAAAAAAAAGAGACACTGACAAATGTTGGCAAGGATATGGTGAAACTGGAATCCTCATATACTATTGGGAACATAAGATTTTGTATCCACTTTGGAAAATAGGCTGGTACTTCATCAAAAGGGTAAATATAAAATTATCATATGGCCCCCAAATTTCACTACTAGATATATTCATCCAGGAGAAATAAAAATATGTGTCTGCACAAAAACTTGTACATAAATGTTCATAGCAGCATTATTCATAATAGCTTATAACTAGAACCAAGTTTTCATCAATTGAATAATAGATAAAATGTGGTATATCCATCCAATGGAATATTATTTGGCAATTAAAACAGAATGAAATACTGAAACATAACACAAAGTTGATGAACTCTTAGAATAGTATGCTGTGTGAAAGAAGTCAGACATAAAAGGACATATATGACAAGATTCAATTTATATGAAATGTCCAGAATAGGCAAATTCACGGAGAGAGAAAGTAGACTGACGGTTGCCAGGGGATGGGGGTAGGGAGAATGAAGAGTGACCGCCTAAAGGTATTGGGTTTCTTTTGGGGGTGAAGACTATGTTGTGAAATTAGATAGTGGTGATGGTTGTACAACTTTGTGAAAATGCTAAAAAACATTGAATTGTACACTAAAAAGGTGGATTTTATGATATGTGAGCTGTATCTCAACTTGTAAAATTCTATGAACCTCCAATAGCATGCAAAACTTCATCTCCGTTATCCCTATTAACACTGCCAATATCCTTAAATCATTTTCCCCAGTCATCAGTTAACCAATATGAGCTTCCTGCTTCACCTTAGCATATAACATAGTGAATTAAGGCTAATGTTGAAATAAATTTTACTTATGAAAAAATAAGACATGAGCCTCTTTTTTTAAAAAAAAGGAAACGGGGAAATTTTTAAAATATATATTTTACTCATCTTTTGAAGATTAAAGTTTTTGTATTTTTTTTTTCCATAAACATCTCAGCTCTATGTGACCGTATGAAATCTCTCTCCTTTTGTTGACAGGCTTGTTGCAGGACAGGGAAGACAAATCCTAATCAACGACAAATTGGTTTAAGTTTTCACATCCTTTTGTATAATCACCTTTGAGATTGAGCTCATGGTCTCTTCTGAATTTCAGATCAAGCTGGGGCAACGGATAAATTGGCAGCCCCTACAGGGGCTCATTTTAAGCTACTTTCCTCCCACCCCAGTAGTTGAAGATTAAAGTGGCAGTTGTCTTGTAATATGACTATTAAAAAATTAATCTCCTTATTCAAGGGGAGGTATGCAGGCAAGTGAATTATCCCAATTCTTCAGTATTTTTCTCTTACACCTCAGCATGACTGAAGAAGAGAAATACATTACCAAAACAACAAGATGCCAAAAACACTCCCCCCGAAACATTATTTTCATAGCTGTAAACGCAGTTGAAATTTCAGAAATATCTTCTCACTATATTGACCAAGCACAAAAGGTAACAAATTATTTAACATTAACCAATCAATCTCAGCAAAATTCTGCTATGTTTCATCACTATTCCAGCATTAAAGATGAAAACATATTTGCCTTTAGAAAGCGGTTCCTATGGAAATGACCATAAATAAAGATAAGTGTCAATATTTAACGAGAAGTGGGAAAAATATATGTTTTTTAAGTTGGCTACTTTGAATTGGTTGACTTGAGAAGAGTGCAGTTTCTCTTCTTTGGCAGAAAATTCTCCCTTGTTTAGAAAAACACATCAATGAGTTTCCTTGTATTGTATATATTTTTTATTTTCTATATAATCTGATGTTTTGACATGTTAAAAAAAACCTTTCTAGCTGGGGAGGGACTGCCCCTCCCAGGAATAGCCAGCTCTTAGAGTTAGGGAGAGCTCAGCCAGGCATGCCTTTGATATGCAAACTAACCAATCTGCAGCCCAGACCTGGGCTTCTCTATTTGGCCCAGACACCCCAGGAGACTATATTCCTCTGCCCTAAACATCCCAAAGCCAGATTCCAGGCAACTAGGGACCACCTCTATAATTTAGAACCCACCACAAATTACTCAAACCAGCTAGTCCTAAATTGTTCACTTTGCCCTGCCTTGCCTTTCCCATGGAAATCCCCATGGACCATGGCTCCAGTCCATCCCCTGTTTTGTGTTTCTGTTTCCTGCCTCCTGACCACCATGCTATCTTGCCTCTGTGTCCCTGCGTGGTATGCCCCATCTTTAGGACCTGTTAGTATAACACACTTTGCTTTCCTGAGCCACTCCTTGTCTCCTCTTGTGGTTGCACCTTACTGAACATCACATAAAAGAATTGAAAACACCCCTCAACCCCTCCGACCAGATAAGAGAGATCTAGAAAAAGAAAAATAAAGCTCATCTACATAATAAATAATTAAAATTTCCCCAGTGGCACTGGGCAAGGGAAGCCTCCATATCCATTTCCCCACCCTGCTCTGCCCTGTGTTTCATCTGACCACAGGAGACTGCATTCAACAGACTCCTGAGCCCACTGGCTTCCAGCAGGGTTCTGCCAACATGCGATAACTGCCAACGACTGGAAAGTGAGGTCGGGGTATTTATTACCCAGGCTCTCCATCTGCTGCTTCACGGGCTAGCAGCACTTGGCATTTGTGGAAGCAAGGCATCCTTCTCCTGCAGGGCCCCTCTCCCCCTCAGGATTCCCATGACATCTTCTCTGCTCTCCTCCTTCAGACCTAAGAGTGGTAATAGCTCCCTGCTGTTGCCAGCCACAGGGTGCTTCAACATAAAGTCAGTTCTGCTATAAAGCGATACGGGCATTGTTGAAAATCATCATACTATATAAAACTGTGCAATAAAAACCACAGGACTTAGGGCAAAATGGGGCCAGAGGCAAATACACAAAAACAACATCTGTGACATGTTTTAAGAAGATAGGAACCTAATAAAAATGGTACAGTGTTATACTTGTTGAATAAGAAAGACATAAATACTAGAAATATGGCACTCAGCCTTAAGAAAGACCTTGCATTTGCTTATGGAGTGGGCATGGGGAGAGGTGCACCCTGTGAGCTATTGTGAAGTAGTGAGAATGGGTTATCTGGAGTCCCAGGGAAAGTTGTCACATAGGATGTGTGTGGGTGTGGCTCACAAGAATGTGATGAACTGAGGGTGGATGGTGGTGGATGCTTGAAGTGCTTGCATTTTGTGTATCCCTACACTGCTTGGCTCACCTGGTTATAGTTTTCTGTGTTCACTTAATATTTCTTATGGATGAAATCACACATAAGCAAATACAAAATTATGCTCAAATTTTCCCTGAATACATCAATGACTTTGGAACAAATCTGTATTTTCAAAACAAGTGTTAAGAAAGAAATGGTTGTACATAATTTGTTCCCCTATACTCGGCCTATGACCTTTCTAAATTCTCCTCAGTTTTCAAATTCGAGTGTATTCTGTTTCCTCTCAAAACACCTAGAGAGAGAATTAGGGGAGCCAGGGGAAACTCAGGAGCTCCACTGGGAGCTGTAGCAACGTAATGGGAATTCAGAACCTAAGACTCTAACAGCCTCTGAGAAATTCCTGTTGGGAGCATGAGCCAAGAGAACTATGACATGGGCAATGTCCCACCAAGCCATGCGAGTGATGTTGCCACCCTGTGGGTCTGGAAGGCAGAGCATGAAGGTAAAGAAGATTATTCTCAAGTCTTTAAAATATCATAGGGCTTGGCTGGCTAGGTTTTAGATTTGCTTGGTACTAACACCCCTTCCTCCTTTCCTATTTATCCCTTTGGAATGAGAATGTCTATCCTATCCTTGTCCCACCAGTGGATTTTGGAAGCACATAACTTGTTTGATTTCACAGGTTCACAGGTGGAGAATGATTTTGCCTCAGGATGAATTATACCTCAAGTCTCACTTATGTCTGATTTAGATATTTAGGTGAGACTTTGAATTTTAGAGTTCATGCTCGAATGAGTTACAACTTTTGGGGCTGTTGGGATGGAATGAATGTATTTTGCATGTAGAAGAGCATGAATTTGGGGTGGGGGGTTAAGGATGGAATGCAATGGAATGAATGTTTATGTCCCACACAAAAAAACATATGTTGAAATCCTAACCCACAAAATGATGGCATTTGCAGGTAAGGCTTTGGAAATTGATTAGATCATGAGGGTAGAGTCTCCAAGAATGGGAGTAGTGCCCTTATCAGAGAGGCCCCTGAGAACTCCCTTTCATATTCTGCCAGTGAGGATACAACCAGAAGTCGTCAGTCTGCAACCTGGAACAGGACCCTCATCAGAACCCAACCATGCTGGCAACCTGCTCTAGGATTTCCAGCCTCTCAAACAGTAAGAAATAAATTTTTGTTGTTTATAAGCCACCGTAAGTCAGTGGTCTCTGTTATAGCAGCCCAGACTAAGACAAAGCAATTGCCAAGGAACTTTGAAAGATGGTGATGTCTCTTTATAAAATTCTAGTTGTTTCATGTTCTACATGATCTTGCAATCTCCACCACAGCCTGCCCCACCTCCCAGCCTGGGTACCTGCAACAGCTGTGGCTTTGTGAAGATTTGGGTAAGGAAAGGGGAGGAGAATGGCATATGAGAGACAAAGACAGGCAGAAAAGACAGGGACCACCGTTGCCAACAAAAAATAATTGAGACACAAACCTCCTTCCCCAGAACTAATCAAGGAAAGGGACCTTGGAAGGAAACCAGGCAGTTCACACTGTGTTAGTATGTGACTAGGAGCCATATTCCTGTTGCTAGAGAATTGCTCTACATGCAGAAAAAGTGAATACGATTTTACTTCCACATTTTTCACCAAGAAAAGCTTCCCAACTATATTTTTCATTCCAAAAGCACTTGTTCTGCAAGTAACAAAATTTTAGGGTGAAAATATTCTATTATTTTTTTCTTCAACAAGCCATTTTCTTTTTTACTTAAGCCAGAACATAAATATAACCTAGTCTTTGCTCAAAAATATTACATTAGCCATAGAGACACACCCATGTGAAGGAATTATTAATCCTCAAAAAACTGTAGCAGAATTTGATGAAAGCTGAAATGTATTTTTACAGATGGTTGTGCTATGATGTATTTGATTTGAAAAATATTAAACAAAGCAATACTCCATTTCTGTTTTATTCCTTGAAAGCAATTACTACATGAAAAGGTGGACAGGCAGGACACAGTTAACAAACAAAGACTAAAGAGTTGTCATCGGGTTCAAAATGGTCTGGAAAATGAATGAGGGCCACTTGCCAATAATATGACTATAAAATATAGCAATGAAAAATCTCTATTGTGAACATACACATACTTACATCCCACATCACAGCTTGATGGAGCAGGAGATAAATGATCCAACATTGATTGTTTTTACAGGAATATGACAACCCCCCCAAAGAAGAGAAACAGAACATCTCTCCCTTCACATAAAAAGCAAATTACAGATGAAAAAAATTCACTACTCTCAAAGCAAGACTCAATTAAAAAAATATGTCTGGCTTTGACAGGGCAAATTCCAGGCGTAGTATATTTTCATAGAAGTTGGTCCTAAAGGAAAGATTTGAGTGCACCAAAAACCTATGGAACTTTTCACAGCTTGTCATAATTTCTCTGTAATATTAAGCAAGGATTTCTGCCTCCTTAGCTCATATTTTTCTTAACTGATCCTGCAAGGTGGTGTTATGTTTGTGATAGTGTATGTCCTTCCTGAAATTCACATTGTATAATAGCTGCATTGCAGACATTGAATAACTAATACTGCCTTACAGCAATACTGTAATGGGTAGTGCTTTACTGAGGAGTGTGTGTGTGTGTGTGTGTGTGTGTGTGTGTGTGTGTGTGTAAATGCATGTGGTTAAATGGCAGGATGAAACTACAGGAAGGAAGAGCAGAGGCAGCTCATCCTGTCCCATGAAATGCTGCAAGGACATCACAAATGGCATTATTTAATTAGAAGGCAATCCTAACTCTGGGACATCCACTTCCATCTTCAGAAACATTAAACAGGAACTATATTGTCTTTGTGTTGTGCAAAGGTTCAAGCCAACACAAAGAACCTCTGAAAGTCACATGATTTTTGAGCCAAAACTTCTGCACACATTCCCCTCTGCCTTGTCACCTTTCATCCACTTTGTCCAGAGCATCCTTAGGGTTTCTAGACAGCCAGTTCTGGATCTTGTTATAATGCTCAGAATGGCTGTCAGCAGACAAGAAAAGAGCTCCAGTAGTCAGGTTTGAGCTATGTGAATAAATACACCCATTTGGGTGTTATCGAGCTTTTTCATTTGTCTTATCATTTCATTCTTCAGTTGACACTGTCACCCTTGGGAAGTCAAAGAAGGCATTTCTCTGGTTCTTTACCCTCGACCTCAGGGCACTACAGCCTTTATTATCTGTCCCTTATTGTCCTTTGGAGATAATTGCCTACGCTTTGGTGCCTATATTACATATGTTTCAACCTGTTCTCCAAACGTTAACTGTTTGGGATTAAAATAGTTTCTAAGAAGTATTTTCAGCCTTTCCTTGAGCTTCTGCCAAATCTATGGCTCTCCACAGAAAGGAAAATGCTGAGCATCAAAAACAAAATGAGGATTAGTCAGAAAGAGATAATAAATAGCACATTACTACATGTGGCAAAAGCTAAAAAAAAAAAAAAAAAAACTTGTTTGTATTTTAATGGTTTAACCATGACAACAGTTTGAGGTCTTAGTAAAGGTAATAAGAATATAGGTTTCTCATTTCTATCAAGAAGTGAGAAAAGATTGGAAAGGCTTTACCATGGAAGTAATATCAGATCATTGATATTGTTTATGCAACCAGATTAAAAGATTCCACTTAAACATTTCCACAATGCATTATTTGCAATGTAAATAGTGAGAGCAGCAATAAATGACAGAATAAATTGTGATGTGGGTAATTACAAAATAGGAGTTGGATTGAGGTCTGCAGGACTCTAGTTCTCTCGATATTATGCTAACAAAAGGGCAGGGCAAACTCTACTAAGACCTTTGTCAGAGTTGCTGCAGGTTTGGGTGGAGAGTGTCCTGGCTACCACTTGGGAAAGAGAGAACCATGGTGCTAAAATCATAACAAACATCGCTACCACAACTTATTTAATCTTATAAACAGAAAAAAAAAGCCAACCCTATGAGGTTAAGACAGTATTATAATCCCCATGTTGCAGATGAGAAAATCAACATCCAAAGAGAGGTGGGGTTTACCAAAGGTTATAGAGTTGATAGATGGAGCAAAGATATAAACCCAAGCAGTAGAGCTCATATGAATCCCTACTTAACCCCACAGTATTGTGCCTGCATAATGGGCTAGGAAAGTTACAGTGTGTATTTGCCATGTCTCACTGAGGATTAGGCATTTAGCCAATCACTCATGTATTTATTTGTTTATACACTCAACAAGTATACATGGAGCACCTACTATGTGCCAGGCATTAATGCTAGAGCCTGGGGTTTAATGATAAACAAGTAGGTGAGCCCTCTTCTTTTGAATGTATGATCTGGCTGGGGAGATTGGTGGAAAAAAACAGGTTACCTGCAGAGCTACGGAGGGAAATACTCTCAAGTAGTTCTGGAAGGTTAATATGCCTCAGAATTGCCTAGAGGGTTGATGAAAACATAGATTGTGCCCTCCCACTCCACCCCACCCCCCACCCCCACCACTGCTACCTGTAGTTTCTGACTTAGTAGGTCTGTGTTTGGACTTAAGAATTTGCATTTCTAACCAGTTCCCAGATGATGCTGATACTGCTGGGATGGAGACTATACTTTGAGCACTGTTGCTCTAAGGGGTATTTGGTTGAGGGAGAAAGACTTCATCATGTTGTATTTTACATCTCTTGGAGATAATCCTCTGCTTAAGAAAAATAATTACTAACTTATATAGATACAATATGAGGCCTGCCAGAAAGTGTCTCTCATCCTGCCTTAAAATATCAACATACTCTCTAGGATGGGTAACATTCAGCCACCCACAGCCATTCACATGTGGGATCTGATGGAATGGGACAGAGGACAGGTAAGTTGTTGTTGTTGTTTTAATAGCCTTTACTTTTTAGAGCAGATTTAGGTCCACAGAAATATTGAGCACAAATACAGAGCTCCTGTATACCTCCTATCCCACCTCATTCCAACAGTTCTCACTGTCAACATCCTCCACCGGACTGGTACATTTGTTGCAATTGATGAACCTCCATTGATACATCATTATCACCCAAAGTCCATAGTATATGTTAGTGTTCACTCATGTTGTACATTCTATGGGTTTGGACAAATGTATAACAACATGTATCCACCATGATAGTATCATACAGAATAGTTTCACTCCCCTAAAATCCTCTGTGTTCTGTCGATTCATCCCTCCCTTCCCCCAACCCATGGTTTTGCCTTTTCCAGAATGTCATATAGTTGGAATTCTATAGTGTGTATCGTTTCCAGATTGGCTTCTTTCATTTAGCAGTTTGCATTTAAGATTCCTTCATGGTTTTTTGTGGCTCGATCGCTCATTTCTCTTTGTTGCTGAATAATATTCTGTTCCCTGGATGTACCATTGTTTATTTATCAATTGACTTACTGAAGGACATCTTAGTTGTTTCCAAGTTTTGGCAATCATGAATAAAGCTGCCATAAACATTTATGAGCAGGTTTTTGAGTGGATTTAGATATGTACTTTTTAACCATTTGGCAAAAACATTCCTATAACTTGTATTTTTGTGTATTTCACAATGAAACATCTTTATATTTTAATTTTTTTGTTTTATTAACTAAACTTTTTTGGTTTTTTAAGTTGGTAAAATGATATATAATTATCATGTACACCATGATGTTTTGAAGTATACATACATTGTGAAATGACCAGTTCTAGCTAATTAACACATTTTATTGGCTCTCATAGTTATTTTTGTGGTGAGAACACAGCATTCACCCTCTTAGCAATCTTCAAGAATATAATATATTTTTATTAACTGTAGTCACCATGTTGTACAATAGATCTCTTGAACTGATTTCCATGTAACTGAATTGAGACATTTTTAAATGAGCTAATATATGCAAAGCATAGTACGTGGCACATATCAAAGCTTAATAATGCTACCAGACAGGTAAGTTTTGACAACATAGACTTGAAAGGAAAAGCAAAACGTGAAGCCAGGGTGTGCTATCTTGAGTATATTATTGAGGAATCAGAGGTAATATACAAAATATTGACACTCTAAGGGATGGAGGTGCTAATGGTAAGATGAGAACCACTACAGAGGAATTTTTTACTCATCAATTCAAGAAGCACATCTCATTCATACAGACAATAACACCCTACCATTTAATTGACATGATGATTAAAGTTGCCTCCAGTTTCCTGGGTCTGGTTTCAATACATGTTAAAAAAAAAAAAAAAAAAGCCTGAATATATTTCTTGTCTATGAAAGGGCATTTTTCCAGATTCATGACCTTTTTGTCTACTAGAGACATACATGGCAAGAGTGAAAGGAAGTATTGTGAAAGAGACAATTTCTTTGAAATCCATATGTGGATAGAAAGTGCAGCATTATCTGTGAGAACAATGATATATGTACATAGGTACACATACATGTGATTTTTTTTTTCCAAAGGTTTGAGTTGTCAGGCTAAATGCTACAGAACAAGAGGGCTTGTGGAGCTAGGTTATAAAACCGTGAGACGCAGAAAGGAGTAGTACACAGGTTGGCATTTGGATAGCTTTCCTCCAAGATCAAGTAGAATGAATTTCTGACATCAAGAGGCCATTTTGCTCTGCTCTGGAAATAGCCTTACACTAACACCAAGTAACAGCATAACAAGTTGCATAATATCCAGCCTTAAAGACAAATGCAAGTGATTTGGAAAGTCATTTAGGAGTTGGTTATCTATAATATCAGCTATCTAAATGGCCTATTCCTTAACCTCGCCCAAGTCATTAAAAGTTAGCTGGTTTTCTAAGCTAATGGCCCACAGGTGTGATTTGTTCAACCTGCATCTCTTGCTGCTAGTTATTGTGCCTTTAAATGTTGAACTCGAATGAGTCAAATGGAGCACTCAGTCTCCTGTGTGCAACCTTGCCCACTGGCCTCTGATATCTTTTGCCTGGACTGGGTGAAACCTTTAAGTCACTGACCAATCCCTTGGAAAGACTTGAGTTTTTGACCCTTGCTATATAGTTTACCAAGTTTCTCTTCAACAACAGCATTATTTTCCTATTAATCTAACTGCCTCTTATTTTTTCCTCATCTCGCTAGTGAAAGGCCAGGTTTTTCCATAAGAATTTAATTGTTCCTGGGTGGATGATATAATAGTATGTGAAACTTAGGGAGGAAATGGTTCTCGATGAAAGCACAGAATTACTTTCTGGCATGGTTCACAGTACAGTCCATATTATTGACCTCTTTGGGAAGGGCTTGAAAATTTTGAGCTCAATAAATAAAACGGGTCAAATCTGTGAAGTAACTTGATTTTTAGCAACAGAAGCATATTACCACCGGACACAAATTAGCTTAGAGAATACATTAAATTTTAGGAGGTACAGAAGGGGCTTTTTTTTTTTTTGACAAAAGAAGGCTGGGAGAATGTGAAATACCCGAGGCATGTTCATTTTTATTCTGTAATGAATAGGAAATCTACTGCAGTAAAAGCAGAATTAATGATTCAAAAACAGCTGGAGATATTGAAACAGAAATTAAACCTACTTACCTAACTCTTAAAACTGGCAAAAGGGCAAGGCAGGCTGAAAGCCAGCACCTGAAGAGGGGTGGAATGTGGATGTTAAAAATCTGTGACCAGTCATTTGCAGGACATTCACATACAGCTACGGTAAAGCCCACAAGTAGCAAATCTCACTAATTAGGAATAACGGGGTGATGGCCACTTGAAATCACTGGAAAACCTGAAGTGTGGACACTTTTTAAGGACACGTAGTCGTGCTGCTTTCAAGACAGAGACTAACAACAAATGACTTTAAAAGGACTGCAAGGTCCCACTGGAGCTGCTAAGAGATAAAAATCATTTGCACTTAGCACATTCTTTATAGGCCAGGGGCTGGTGCTTGGGTTGTACCAATCACTTTAAAACAGTTTGATTTTAAAAAGCTATGCATACCTCCTGCTATCTTATCTATGCTGTTCATTTGACCATTTTTTCCAAAAATGGTAGAAAAGTTTACTTTAGTCCAAGCGCTTTCCTGAGTGACAAATTCACGTTGATAGTATATGTCATATTGAAATGGTCCCAATGATCTTAGAAATTCTTACTGTTACAGTTGGGGAAAGGCTGAAAATTGGAACATATGTATGTATGTATGCACATGTGGGTGTGTATGCATATGTGTATAAGGCCCATATTTGCCATCTTCTATGTCGCTCTAAGTTGTTTTTTTTTTTTTAATTGAATTCTAGGAGGCAAGTATGCAAACTTGAGCCTTAAACAATTGATTTTCTGGTTTTTCTTTTTCAGGGTATTGGGAAGATATAGGAATCATGACCAGGGCTTTTCTTCACTAGTAAATTTTGCTGGCGGATTTTAAGCAAATAGAAAATTCATCTGGCAGCTCTGTTTTACCATCACATATATATCTTCAAACTTATTCTGGATAGAAAAACAACATTTATGTCCAAACCCATTTCAACATCCGCTCTTAACCAAAAGAGGTCTTTATAGAATTTCCAAGGCTAAAGCACTTATTTCCATACTTAGTGACTTTCATGAGACAGGAGCCTATGAAAGAACACACTAATTCCAGGATATTTGTGAACATCTATGCATTTGGGGGCCAAGGTACAAATGGATTGTATATTTGCTAGATGAAACTCCCTGAGATTCCCTCAGGAGGAAGGAAAAGAACTTATATCAAGTGCATTCCCAGTGTCAGTCCCTGAATAAGCTTTAGGTTTGAAATATATTAAATGGTGTCGCTATTTAAAAGTAGTCCATGCCCCCTCCTACTTAATTTCTCTACTTAGCATTTATCATTTTCCACTATAAAATACTTATTTTGTCTATTTTCTGTCTCCTTCCACCAAAATATAAGCTTCATGTGGGTAAGGATTTTGCCTGTTTCTTATTGCTCAGTCTCCACTGCCAAGAATTCTGTCTGGAAGATAATAAGTACTCGACAAATAAATCACTGTGGAGTGAGTGAGTGAATGACTGAGTATAAACAACTATGGATACCATCTCATTATCTTGTGTTCTAATGGACCCAACAGGAAGACCTGGCTGGAACCTAGCTCTGCCACTTATGAACTGGAAGGCCTTAGATGAGGGACAGTCGCTCTGAGCATCAGTTTTCCTCATGCCTGAAAAGCAGATAATGATAGTTCCTTCTCCATGAGGTTGTAACAACAAAAAAGGAGCATGCCAGGACACTGTTTCGCATGTTTCTCGGCATGTTGTAGGTGCTTCAAAAATGTTGGCTATTATTACTGCTTTTGTCTTTATTTCAAAACCATTAACGAATGCAGAATAATACTCCCATGAATATAACAGAATTCTGCACCTACATATTTCATCACTCATCTTTTCTAAGAGCTCTGACACAGGATAAGGAAGAAACTGATGGGTGAAGAAGCTGCCTCACTCTTGCTGAGTTTTGCAAAACCATTTCTTGGGCTTGGGGAACGGAAAGGGCCTCCTAGACCTGACCTCACAAAGGACCGTGTGCAGCAGCTGGCCTGCCTGTCTCTGAGTTGCATGCTTAAGAAATCAGTAGGGCATTTGGGTCTCAGGCTGTCCATGCTATTACCTTCCTGAAGCCCTAAATACATTTGAAAAGCAATCGTTTTCCTTATAGCTTTGGAAAGGAGAATGTGAAGAGAGGCTTGGTGGAGGCAAGCTCATATTTCAAGGCACGTCAAGGACCAAGATGGATGATGTGCAGCTAACAGTGGAAACGGATGTAAAACACAAAGATCAGGCCCACACAGATGCCCACACTGCCCGCCCCCCCCTCCACCCCACTTCAGGATCAAGATGAAATGGAGCCATAACATTCAAAAACAGAGACACTGGCTTTCAGAATAAAGGACGGCTTGACAGTGCCTGATATTCAGGTCATCATTGCCTGCACTGGGATTTTGAATGCATAGATGCTTCCAGATATGTCTATTTTTCTACCTCTTGTTCTGTGATTCCTAGTCTGCTTGCCTTATTAGAATTATCAGTAAAGAATGCTTTTTAAAGGCACTTATTCTATGGATAAGTGCTTGTTTCATCTTTGCAATAAGCCGTCGAAATAGGAAATATTTATTTGGGTGCCCATTTCACAGATGAGGTCTTGTCATAAAACCAGTAAGTAGTGCAGTCAGATCTGCCCTCAGGCCTGTCTGAATCAAGCTTAAATGCTGCTCAGTATCATAACACCGCAGACCAAATTAGTTCTACTGTGATGCTCTCACAGCTTCTTTACTTTTTCTTCATAACATTGAACTTAATTTTTAAAAATATATGTACATGATTACTTGCCTAATTCTTGACTCAGCAATAAACAACTTTTTTAATATCACTGTATTTGTAAAGCAGAGCCCAAACATAATTCATAAGAGAGACTCAGAAAATAACTGTCAAATGTGTGAATACAAAGTGGACATAAGTTAACATTTCACATTAAGATTGAAATTTAGTTAGTTTTTTAAATGAATGAAGAACATTCAAAACTCTTGTATTCAGTGATCTTTCCTCTTCTAAGGATAAAATCAATGTGTAAAAGTTTCTAATAATCTTTAGTATAATTATTCCACAATCATATGGAAATTCATACACTTGTGCAATTTACCTATTTATTATTTTACTCTTCCATTAAACAACTGCCAGTATGTATCTACCCTCTACATTTTTTTCCTCCTTTTGATTCTAGTTCTTAGTAGGTGCTCAACAAATATTTATGGGACAAACTAATTAAAAATACTGCTGATCCACAGTTGCTGATATTTTAATAAAAGTAAAAATGCTCACACCTTTATAACCATACATAAATATTTTCTGAGTGATGTGAACTTAGAGATTTTCAGAGTGAGTTACTTGTGACTTTACAACATTCAAGATACAACAGAATGATGAAAATGTGATTCAAGGGAGAAACTCTGTGGTCGTGAACCAAGGCTAAAGAGAAAAAGCCTTGCTGTTTTAGTTTGTTTTTTCCAAACAAAGTTGGGAGGTAAACCACAGCTTCTGACCATGTATTTAAACATTTAGAAAACTCACTGAAATTGCTTACATGTAAACAGCAAGAGATTAATACTGTGTTTTTGAAACTGGCTTGAATGAGGCCTGTGAGATTTCACCACAGAAAACGAGAAAATGATTGTTCCCAGAAATAAACAAAAACAATGTAAGAATTTATATTTCTTCTTTATCTTTCTCTTAGCCAAAAGCAAAGCACAACAGACAATGCAAACAAAAAGCAAATGAACAAAAGAAACTTGAAAGGAAAGAAGTGGTGATAAAGTCTAAGGACGGGGAAATGTGCTATGAAGCAAGAAGCGAAGGATTCCAGTGAAACGTAAGGGAAATGCTAAATGAAAGATGGGTATACAGCGTGAGACAGAATCAAGAAATGGTAAGAGGTTGGATAGAGAAGAATCAAGCTGCCGGGTGGTGAGTCCAAACACTGCTAAAATCCAATTCTAATTATACACGAGCCTCTTCTCTGCATTTGTTTAATTTCATTCTTCTCTGCAAATACAGAAACAGCTGTTTCCCTTTTGACACAATTATCTAAGTCCAGAAGCTTTTGAAATGTCCCTTTGAAAGGTTTGCAGACCTTACAAGAAGCCTAAACATATTAAGTAACAGACCTTTTGGATTTTAGACAAGGAAAGCATTTTACTCAAGGCCTTGAAACTACCGGCCAGAGGACCTAGGGTGGTGGAAGGAACCATGGTGTGTCTCAAAGTCAGGATGAATGGCAATACTTATTTGACCTTAAAAGTCAACAACTTGACCATTAGCTTGACTACATTATGAGTGAAAAATTGACCTAGAGTATTCATCCATTGGCTGACCAGCAGCTAATCAGATTGTCTTTATTGAACTTAGTTTGAACTAAGATATTGATAATCTATAGTCAATTGTTGATGGGCACCAGAATATAGTCAAGTAGATTTAGGATTAGCGGTTCCATTGGACCATGTAAGTCAAGAGACACAAATAGAAAACTGAGTAGTTCCCTCAAGAGAGAGAAAATACTAAAAGAAAAAAGGGGAAGACTACAAAAGAGACAAAAATGAATGAATGTGTGGCCCCACAGAGATGGAAGTGAGGGGTGAAGCCAGCTGGACTTCTGGGTCGGGTGGGGACTTGGAGAACTTTTCTGTCTCGCTAAAGGATTGTAAATGCACAAGTCAGCGCTCTGTGTCTAGCTAAAGGTTTGTAAACGCACCAATCAGCACTCTGTAAAAACAGACCAATCAGCATTCTGTAAAATGGACCAATCAGCACTTGCAAAATGCACCAATTGGCAGGATGTGGGTGGGGCCAAATAAGGCACTAAAAGCTGGCCACTTGAGCCAGCAGCGGCAACCCACTCAGGTCACCTTCCACACTGTGGAAGCTTTGTTCTTTGGCTCTTCACAATAAATCTTGCTGCTGCTCACTCTTTGGGTCTGCACTACCTTTATGAGTTGTCACACTCACTGTGGAGGTCTGAGGCTTCACTCCTGAAGTCAGCGAGACCACGAACCCACCAGGAGGAACAAACAACTCCAGATGCACCACCTTTAAGAGCTGTAACACTCACTGCGAAGGTCTGCGGCTTCACTCCTGATGTCAAGCGAGACCACGAACCTACCAGCAGGAAGAAACTCTGGACACATCTGAACATCTGAAGGAACAAACTCTAGACACACCATCTTTAAGAACTGTAACACTCACCGTAAGTGTCCGCAGCTTCATTCTTGAAGTGAGACCAAACACCCACAGGAAGGAACCAATTCCGGACACAGAAGTATTTTCCATTCCTATCAACTTTTCATTTCCATCTTCATGAAGACTCAGTATCCAAACTCAGTATCCAATAAACAAACAATGGCTAATATTTCTGAACACATAACCATACAGTATTGTGCATACATTGTTTCATTTCATCCTCAAACAACCCTATAAAGAAAGAACTATTACTATTCCCATTTTACAGCTGAGAAAACTGAGACCTGGAGAGCTTAAGTAGTGTGCTCACACAAGTCCCATGGTTAGTAACTGGTAGCGACAGGATTCAAACTCAATTCTGTCTTATTCCAAAGTTCATGTTCTTCTTAAACCAGGTGTTTCTTGTAACCTGAAATTACCTTCCTCTTTATTCGAGCAAGCTTGAGAATTCTTTTTATAAACATCAGCCATCCCTGATGAACACAGAAATGAAAAAGTTCAAGATGTTAGCAAGGAAGGGATCCTCGCTAAGCACTGAAGTTGTGACATAGAGGCAAATTCTGTGACTTAAAACTCCATTTCCTTTGGGTATAAGGATTCAACTTTAAATGTTTTTTCCCCCACTTTACTTTCCTCCTTTCCGGTTTTTACATTAGGCAAGTTACTGATATAAAATTCTTGCTGAACTTAGAGTCCTGTCATTTTCCCCAGTGTTCTGACATTTTTTAAAAAATATAAAGTAATTTAATGGAAATTTTTAAACTGGATAAGAAAAAGACAGAGGAAAGAGTATACTTTGAGTAATGAAGCAAACGAAGCTGAGGAAGTTGGATGCTTATGTTTACTACCAAGTAAATGTCAGAGGACATTTACATTTGCCAAATTCTTTGCGTGTATATCTTCAAAGCTGTCCAGATGCATTAGATGAACACAGCATGATAATGGTCATACCCTGCTCTGTGCTTCACTTCTACACATTAAATTGCCTGAATATAAATGAAGGCCACAATGTTCATTTACATGCAATACTAGGTCTGTTTTTTGAACAAGCTGTCTAAAGAAATATTCTGTCACACGATAGATTTTCACATCTTTGGCTATTTTGGTTTTATGTTGGAAAGAAGTGAAGAGATATGTGAGGGAATTTTTCAGAATATTGAATTTGGGCCTGGGCTAGGCATTGGCTAGCTGTGTGACCTTGAGCTAGGCATTCACCTGATGACACTGAAACCATACTATTTATGTCACAGGGTAAATAAGGTCATAATAAGATCGTAACTGAAACAGAGATGGAGAAGATTATCAGGAGTCTTTAAATGTTTATGGAATTTATTGAATGATTACTACGAATTGTTTTAAGGAAGAGCCACTCTAAATTCCATTTTAGTTGAAGGAACACATTTGGGTACTTACTGTGTGTGCCACTGTGTGTCTGGCACATGCTTTCTCATGAAATGATCTCCCCAGTTCTGTAATAGGACTTTCAGTTTAGATCTTTTGAGTTGAAATGGCAGAAGGTGCTGGACCATCAAGATCTGAAGCTGATCTCAAGAAAAGATGCTCCCTGCCTCCAAATCTTTAGCCTCAGGCCACTGGGTGCATGTGGAATGGGCCAGCAAAGGGACTGGGTCAATAGGCTGCTGTTGCCTTGCAGCCGAGTCCCCAGGGAGACACAACAGGGTGCTGACCAGAAGCAAAGAACTCACTATTTTACCCCTTTAACAGGTAAAAATTACAGGTAATTAACAGGGTAAAAATTAACAGGGTAATTAACAGGGTAAAAAAAATTAACGGTAAAAATTACAGGCTCATTTTTTTAATCTCACATTCTTTTGTTTGTAACATCAGAGGCAAGTCTTTCATAACCTATTCATAGACACATACACATTTATGTGAAACAAATATTTTGCAAAAGAATAATTTTTTAAAAAGTGATACTTTCAACAGAAAATATGTAGATATTCAATGTTCTCATTCCTCCTAGAGGGTGAACAGCCTCTTTCTAGGGAAGGGCACCCAGCTGGAGAACACTTGTCATAATTTGCAATCATCAGCATGTCATGAAAAGAAACATAGTCACAAAGCCAAGCCAGGCTGTTTCAAAACCACAGTAGAGAATTTTTTGGAATCAGGGGCATATGAGTGCATGGAACTGAGGAACAAATGCCAGATCCAAAGTGGATGCTGAGATCATTCCCAAGCAAAGACCACCATGTGAGTAGGGGGAATCAAGACATAGTGTCAGAGTGGGCAGAGAAGCCCAAAGATGAGTGAAGGGTATCATGGTGGGAAGAGGGGTAGCTACAGCGTCTGCAGGAGCTAAGGCAGTTCTGCTGGCATTTGTAGCCATCTAGCCTTGAAAGGTGGCAACACAGAGGAGTGGAAGCAGCTCAGGGCATCATAAGGCCCTGGGGGCCTGAAGGAATGGTGATAAATGGAGGTATGAGGCCCAATGAGAGATGAGGATAAAGAGTAACCAAGGATGAGGAAGACCATAACATTTATGGTCCAGACAAGGCCAGGACGATTTGGAAAGTGAAAGGGGGTGCTGTTAATAACTATACCAGGCATATACTGGACTGTCTCCGGCAACTTGGGACGTATGGACTCTCTATTAAAAGCAAATAATGCTCTGGCTTAATGTTGGCCTTGATCAAGCCACTGAGGGAAAGAGTTAGGGCTCTGGAGTCATTTGCCCTGGTTCAAACACAAACACTGCTGCTTATTGAGTGTGTGACCTTGGGTGGATAATTTAACTTCTTTGTGCTGAGTTTTCCTGCATATTCCCATTGTACAGGGAAAACCCTGAGGACCTAGAGAGGTTTAATAAGTTACCCTAGGTCATGGAGTTAGGAATCAAACATAATCCAGTCTGAAACCAAACTCATTCTCTGAAGCTCTACCACAGTAACTGTACATATAGTCAGTGGCAGCCTTTCTGCTCTCAGATTATTCACTATGAACAGCACTGAATAGATCTCAGCAGGTTTCTATTTTCCTCCTTGACCAGTATTTTTGGAACCACCATATATCTGTCCCCAACTTTATAGTGCCCTCAAGCAATACCAGCTCCCCAAGAAATGTCTAGTTTAATGTCATTTTGGAAAGTTTTACTTAAAATCTGCTGTTTCTTCTACCAGTAATTCCTCCTACCTTAAAGAATGTTCCCTCCCTGGCCACAGAAGAAGTTATCTGTTTGATTTTAATCACTCTCCTTAGAATCCCAGCTTAAGGGGATACAGGTAAAAACAAGAAAAGGAATCAGCTGAGAAGACAAAGCTCTTGGCTCCAAATTAAAAACAATCCTGAATACTCCATATCTGAAAAAAGTGCAAATGATTCCTGGGGGGGACTTGGAAAAGAGCTTGGCTCTTACAGTAATCTATCAACTGTCAGCCTCTTAACACTAGAGGTTTAAAGACACACACTGTTCTTGTTACAGAGGACGTGTTCCTGTGGGTACATCCACAGCAATTTATGACTACTTCAAAATCAGTTGTAAGCTTCTTCTATGTTTGAAATCCAGCATTTATGTGTGCTTTAGGAGACACTGAAAATGCTCTTAAATGAGATATGTAAAAGCCAGTGAAAAGTTAAAAGCAGCTTATAAATGCAAGGTATTGTTATTATTGGAAGAACATTAGTTATGCAATGCCTGTCAGTCTCTTCTACGGTATTCTCCTGGATGAATGCATTATTCCCTTAAAACTATTCCAGTAAGTCTGACTTTAGATAATATGCAGGCAGACATTATTTTCATATCCCTTGTTTTCATTCTCTGAGTGTTGACATATTTCAAATCGGCGAGTGAATCCATAAGGTACTCAAAGAGGCAGTGTGGTCTTCCCACCCCAGAACACCGTCACTAATTACCTGTAATGCAGCTGACCAAGACAAGAAATGCAGAACATAATTCTTTATTATTACCTGTACAACCATTTTAGCTCAGGTCCCACTAATTTGGACATTTCAGTTATTCAACTGAGCCTGTGCTGAATTTTTTCTTTTTCTTTGTTTTTGTGCTGAATTTTTTTCTTTCTGTTCTCTTTGATAAAACTAGTTGTGAAGCAAATGGAAGTATAAATATAATGAGTTTGGAGGAGCAAGTTAAAAATATTTTAAAAGTTTTGTATACATCTTCATGTAAAAGAACAAGAAATGTGATGAATAAATATAGCTACTCATGTATTACCTAAATTTTATACCTCTTTAAAAGAATCTTTAGTGGTTGCCCTAGTGTTACATCTTTAATTAACCAATCTACTTTCAAGTAATGTTATACTGTTTCCCATGGCATGCAAGTTGGCATTTGAATCACATTCCTTATTTAATAGATGGAAATTAAAATATACTTTAAGCTATAATTCTCTGTATTTTAGTGTATTTCACAAATTCAGACTGACCAGTCAATTTTCTTCTCTTTACTCTTAGTTTACTCTTATATTCTGGGGTACTGGCAATGTTCTATATCTTGATTTGGGTGATAGTTATGTGGGTAGATACATGTGTAAAAACTTATCATGTACTTAATTGTATATGTATTATACTTAGATTTTTTTTTTCAATATGATGCACAAGTTAAGCCTTCCTCATTGTTCACCCAGGAGATATTTCTGTAATGGCATTGAGTATGTTACAGAAAATATGGGTAGGGCATATTTTGAAGGCTGTCTTGATGCCTTATGTTAGCATTCAGAGCTCAAGAAGCTGGAATCTCTACAGATCAGTTATCATCACTCTAATCCTAGAATGCCTTTTCATCCCAATCTGAAAATGCCTTTTCAGATACTATCTGTTGCCTGGAAAAGCCAGAGTCACATCAAGGAAGATGTTTCTCCACCAGTAAAACAGCCCACAGGCAACTGGTGGTGAAGGTGGATTTTTTTGTATGTATGCCAGTGAGGTATGAAGAATGGCATCATTAATGACGGCAAACTCCAGCAAATTAAGAATTGTTCATATTCATTTATTCATCAGGAATTCATGAATGATTATTTATGCAATCATTTATTGCATGTCCATATGTACAAACCCTGTGCAGGAATATGCAGTTATTGTTTTTAGGCGCTCTTTGTATTGGAGGATATAATGGCAATTACAGTGCAGCTGCACAGTAACTGTACTATAGCAGGAACTGCAGCGTACCATCGCGGGGCAGAGTTGGGCTCTCGACCAGCTGAAGAAAAGCAAGGAGCAATGGGTATGGAAGTCTTCTTGGAGGATATGAAGCATAACCATTGGAAATAGCCTATCAATCTAGTGCCAGAATTCTCAATTCCCATGCACTTCCCTCTTCTAACTATATTCCTTCCTTAATGGATGCACCTTGGAAATGTACACCATTATTTTTTTCAGTTGCTAAAGTAAAAAATCTAGGAGGTCTTGCAAAGGAGCACAAAGAATTGTTTAGAATTGGTTAAAAAAATTGACATTTCTGTATTACAGTGGTGTGGTTTCATAGGTATATATATCTTTCTATACTCATCTTGGTGTATGTTTTAAATGGATAAAACTTCATCAATAAGGTTGATGAAAAGTCTAGGCATTATCCTTGACTGATCTTTTTCCATCATCCTCAAGTCATTTATAAATGCAATCCCTTCAACGTCTAAAAATCATCCTAATCCATCCACTGCTCTCCATTGCCACTGCCAGCGCTATTGTACAAGCCCCAACCACACGTGGCTAGGATGACTACGGTAGCCTCCTGACCGGTCTTCCCTCTATTCTTGCTCTCTATAGTCCATTCTCCACATCTGTTTATAATGCAAATGTGGTGTGTTATACCCTTGCTTAAACCTCAAAAGGCTTCCAATTGCACTTATAGTGAAACTGAAATTCCTTACCAGGGCCTTCAAGGTGCTACCTTAAAACTTTTAAACTTTTTGGCCTCAGGACTCTCTCACACTTTTAGAAATTAGTAAGGAAAGCAAAGAGCTTGGTTATATCTATTGATATTTACCAGATTAAAAACTAAAGCTGGGATATTTTTATATCTCTTTTAAATACATTTTTAGTGGTTGCTCTTCCAGGGTCTTACATATACGTATGTGTGTGTATATATGTATATATACGTGTGTGTGTGTGTATATATATATGTATACACACATATATGTCTTTAATCAGTTTACCTTCAAATATTATACAGTTTCACATGGCAGGCAAGAAACTTCAGAACAATATTCTTTTGGTTCCTCTCTCCCCTCTTTTTACTATTGTTTTACACATTTTACTCATACATATGCTATAAATATACCATACATTACTATATACTTTAGACAGAAAGTTATCTTTTAGAGCAATTTAAAATGAAGAAAAAATAATTTTATACTTACCTTCTTTAATGCCATTTCCAGTGCTCTTCATTTCTTCATGTAGGTCCAAGTTTCTTTAATCTGGTATTACATTCTGTCTGAAGAACTTCCTTTAACATTTTTTCCGCAGAACAGGTCTGCTGGTCATGAGTTCACCAAGTTTTTGCCTGAAAAAGTATTTTTGAAAGATATTTTTGCTGGATATAGAATTCTGGATGGACAGTTTGGTTTTAAAATTTTTTTTATTAATACATAATAGATGTACATATTTCCAGGGTACATGTAATAATTTTGTATAATTTGTTTCTTTCAGCACTTTAAAGATGTCACTTTTGTCTTCTAGCTTGCAGAGATTTAAGGGGAAGTGGCTCATAATTTTTATCTTTGCTTCTCTTTATGCCATGTTTTTATTTTTCATGGCCTTCAAGATTTTCTCCTTATCTTTGGTTTTCAGAAGTTTGAATATGATGTGTCTAGGGTTTTTAACATCTGTATTGTTCTCTAAGCTTCTTAGAGCTGTAGTTTGTCATCCATCATTAATTTTAGAAAATTCTCTGCCATATATTTCAAATATTGCTTCTTTCATGTTTTTTTTTCTCTTTGTAGGATTTCAATCATATGGTATATTAGACCATTTGACCACTTGATATTGTTCCACAACTCTAGGATACTCAGTTCCTTTTTTTTATTTGTGTCTCAAATTGGGTAATTTCTATTGGCCTATTTTCAGTCGCACTGATTCTTTCCTCAGCTGTATTGAGTTTACTGATAAATTTGTCAAAGGCATTTAATCCGTTTTTCACTTCTAGCATTTTGATTGTTTCTTATAATTGTCATCTCTCTGCTAAAGTTCATCATCTGACATTGCATGGTCTTCATTTTTCTACCAGATCCATTAGCTTGATAATTATATTTATCATTTAAACATAATTTAAATTATTTGTCTGATATTTCCAACTGAAGGACCTGGGTGGGGCTTCACGCCTTTCCTAGGGATGTTGCTGTTCCCCTCCTCCATGCCTTGCACCACAACGGAGGTTTCCTCTGGACTCTTACCTGCCTCTCATCTTTCTCATGAATATCCAGTAAAGTCCACAAAAAAGAGCCTGAGAGTGAGTGTCAAGCCCCCTTGTGTCTGCAGCTCCCAAGGATTCTATACTCTCATATTAGCCACCTTCTATTTTAGCTCATTCATTAAAATTTTTAGCTGAAACTTCTTATCAGCTTGTATGGCTAGTAGTCCATCTCTCTTTATATGTACTTGTCTTTGCTTAAATTTCAGATGAGTTGATTTCCCTGAGACCTCAGCAATCTGAGAGATTTAGGAATGATTGTATGTAGCATCTGGAAAACTCTACTGTATGTTCATCAGAGAACCAATGTGAAAAAGGAAAATAATATTTAGTATTATTATGAAAATTATTTTAGCTTTGTGGACTCTCCAAAGTATTTTGGTGACTTCGAACAGAGTCTTTGAGACCCACTGTCCTCCATGATTCAAGCTCCACTCACCTTTCTAACATTACCACCAAACACTATCCCCCCTTCCATACTATATTCAGCCACACTGGTCCTGTAGTTCTGCCTGCACACCAAGTTCTCTAATGACCTAAGTTTTTGGCCTCATTTCTCCCACAAGGAGTGCTGTTCCATAGGTCTTCAAATGACTAGCTCCTTGTTATTCTCCAGCTTTCAGCATGGATGTACCTCCTCAAACAGGTCTTCCATGATCACCTTGGTCTAAAGAACCTATACACATACACCTACTCTAAGATGTTTTCTATCACATCACACTCTTTATATGAAATGGTATTTATACTCTCAGCCATGCTTTCATGTCTCTTGTGGCCATGCCTATCCTTGGTATGAGTCTGACTCGGCCTAGATAGAAAACCAATTCAGTTCAAAGAGCTTTTGAACCTCGATATGAACTATACTTGGCCAGTGAAACAACCCCACAGGAGTCTTCTTTTTAAGTGATTTTAAAAAAACACAATTAGCTTGTTAATGATTGATACAATTTAATCATTCTTTTATCAAAATTATTTTCAATATATTTGCTTCTTTTCTGTCTTCCTCCAACTTTTCTGCCTCCTGCAATATCTATAGTACCCACAATAGCTTCTGTTGTATAGTAACTCCTCAAAATGTGAATAAAATGGCTTAGACTATTTTAATGACTAAATTGTACCAATCATTATCAAGCTAATTGTGACTTTTACATCATTTAAATAAAAAAAAAAAAGTCTCCCATGGGGTTGTTTTACTGGCCAAGAATAGTTAGCATTTAGATTCAAATGCTCTTTGAACTGAATTGGTTTTTAATCTATGCCCAGCTGAACTCATATCAGAGACAGGCTCAGCCACAAGAGACATGGAAGAATAGCCAAGAGTCTAAAATATGATTTCAACACATGATAAAGCAAGGCTGTTTCAACAGCATGGGAGGTGTACTTCTTTGAACAGCGAGCCCTGGCTTTCCATATCACAGTACCTGGCAAAGCTTTGTTTTCTTTTCAGTAATCTTTAGCTTATCTTCCTCAGGCAATGTGAAAAACTAAAAAGGAAACTTCAAGCCAGGAAGCTGTCAGAAATCCTCTGGTTTTCATGTCTGCTCTACTTGGTTCCCCAAAGTAATATTTCCACAAATAAAGATGTCAGGAGTTAATGTAGACTCCAGAACTAGGCAAGAACCCATAATCAGGTGGTGCCTGATCAGTCTCATGATGCGCTTTCTCCCCTGTGGAAGGCTATAGAACATGAAAAAAGGAGAACCATGGTTCTTTTTTAATTTGGGATTTGGAGCAAGAAATTAAGTGCTGGTAGTTTGGAGTTTTTCACAAATCAAATGGATGTTTTAGAAAAAGCTCTTACTCAACACTCAACTCCCCTAATATAATTGATGACTTTTTTCCTCAGCTGTCTGATTTTAAACGTATGTTACCATCTGGATGAATCTTTTCTCTAAAGCCTTATTAAGGGCACATATCGGGGATGGGGAATAAAACAAGGGCAGTGATCTATACAAGTCATCAATGATCTGAAAAGTCTTCAATTCAGTCCTAGAAAAAGGGCATAATATGGTGGAGAATGAAGAATATAGGGCCAAAATCTAAGTCATATTCATGTGTGTGTGTGTGTGTGTGTGTGTGTGTGTATGTGTATGTGTGTGTGTATTCATTAATCCAGTATACATTTGATGTGGTTTGGCTCTGTGTCCCCACCCAAATCTCATCTCGAATTGTAATCCCCAGGTGTCAGGGAAGGGACCTGATGGGAGGAGCTTGGATGGTGAGGGCAGTTCCCCCATGCTGTTCTCATGATAGTGACGGAGTTCTCACGAGAGCTGATGGTTTTTTTTGAGACGGAGTCTCGCTCTGTCACCCAGGCTGGAGTGCAGTGGCACGATCTCGGCTCACTGCAAGCTCCGCCTCCCGGGTTCACGCCATTCTCCTGCCTCAGCCTCCCGCGTAGCTGGGACTACAGGCGCCCGCCACCATGCCCGGCTAATTTTTTGTATTTTTTAGTAGAGACGGGGTTTCACTGTGTTAGACAGGACAGTCTCAATCTCCTGACCTCGTGATCCGCCCACCTCGGCCTCCCAAAGTGCTGAGATTACAGGCGTGAGCCACCGCGCCCGGCGAGCTGATGGTTTTTAAAGTGGCAGTTTCCCCTGTGCTCTCTCTCTCCTGCCACCTTGTGAAGAAGGTGCCTGCTTCTCCTTTGCCTTCCAAGATGATTGTAAGTTTCCTGAGGCTTCCCCAGCCATGCATAACTGTGAGTCAATTAAACCTCTTTTGTTTATAAATTACCCAGTCTCAGGTAGTATCTTTATAGCAGTGTGAACATGAACTAACATTAACATTATTGAATTCCTACCATGTGACAGGTACTATACTAGGTAAACAATGGTAAGGAAGATAGACACAGTTTCTTCTTAATAGACTTCAGAGTCTAAGAAGAAAATGAGGATACAATTAGATATGCAAATAACTATATTAAATAGAATATGCTATGAGAAAAATAACTAATCGAATATTTAAGACGAAGACTCAGAGGAGAGATTTTTGATGAAAATGTGGGAGGAACCAACACAGGTTATTTTATTAAGGCTGTGATGAGTAGACAGGTGATCTAAGATGAAAGAATAAATATAAGACACAAAGAACTAGAGTCTCTATTGTGGAACCTTGTGATTATGTGAGTTAATACTTAATAAGCTCCTATATATCTCTCTCTATATATTCATATATATATACGTATATATGTATTTATATACATATATACGTATATATGTATTTATATACATATATACATATACATATATGTATTTTATATGTACATGTATGTATATATGTATATATACACAAGATTTTTGATGAAAATTTGGGAGGATATATATATATATACACACACATACATATATTTATATATCTTATTAGTTCTGTCCCTCTAGAGAACCTTAATATACCTGGGAACCTGACCAAGTCAAGGGAAAAGAACCTAAAGACACTTACATTGAGAGTTCATCCAAAAATGACCTACCCAGATGCCGTGAAGTAAACCTCAAAGTTGACAAGCCGTACCTACACACTCAGTTCATCCAATCAGGGCATTTTCCCTCTTTTAATCAGGAACACATGACCAAGACACTGGGAGGAATGACTTACATAGAAGATGGAGATCATTAAAATACAGTCACGTGTCTCAATGACAGGACTACATTCTGTCAGTAGGTGATTCCATCATTGTGCAAACATCATATCATGTATGCTGTGAGAAAAATAAATAATTGACTATATGAGATTATGAATATGCCATGAGAAAAATAAGTAACTGAATATATAAGACTAAAACTCAGAGGAGAGATTTTTGATGAAAATTTGAGAGGAACCACTACAGGTATTTTCTCAAGGCTATGATGACTAGATTGGCGATCTAGGATGAGAGAATAAATATACAAGCACAAAGAACCAGAGAACACTATGATTGAGTGTGGCTCAATCAAACCTGAGTGATATAGCCTACTACATACCTAGGCTATATAGTATATAGGCTATTGCTCCTAGGCTACAAATCTGTACCTCATGTTACTTTGCTGAACACTGTAGGCAATTGTAACACAATGGAAAGTATCTAACACATGTGCTTAGATGTGTATCTAAACACATCTAAACATAGAACAGATACTGTAAAAATACAGTATAAAAGATAAAAAATGGTTGACCTGCATTAGGCACTTACCATGAATGGAGCTTGCAGGACTGGAAGTTGCTCCGGGTGAGTCAGTGAATGAGTGGCGAGTGAATGTGGAGGTCTAGGACATTACTGTATACCACTGTAAACTTTATGAACACTGTCTACTTACATTTATTTTAAAAATACCATAATTGTGCTATAACATTATGGTAGTTATAACATCACTAGGTAATAGGAATTTTTCAGCTCTATTATAATCATATGGGCCCACCATCATACATGTGGTGCATCGTGACCGAAATGTCTTTATGCAGTGCATGGCTGTATACCTAAAGATAACCAGAAGATTCATAATCAGCATAACAGACATTGGAAATAATTTGTACATTGGTGAAGAGGATGGATTAGATTTAAAAAGCTATAGAGGAGCTGTCACCCTTACCAAGATGGGGCATAAGAATCTGGTGAGCCAGGAGCCTAATGATGCTGCCACAGTGGTGTCATTCAGTCTTGTGTAGGCGCACATTGTGGATATTCCTGCTGCCTGATGCAATTAGGTTACTGCTACCTCAGATCATAGCCACATCTGTCTCCAACTGACCCTTTCATATATGATATTGGAGAACCTGAAACAACAGAGAGCAGAGTCGGCCATTGGATTACAGAGACTTGTGAATAACCTTTGGAAGTGTGGCAGAAATTGGTTTGAGCCTTGCTCTCATGAACGTACCACTTGGCAGAAAAGTTTATACACAGGGAAGGGAACATCTAGCTTGCACCCAGCTCTCATTATTAGGGGCTAACCATGTTTGCTGAAAGACCTTGACACATGTGAACAAATAAACGGGTTTAGGTCTATTTGCAACACTTGTCCAGCTTGCTTGCTGGATAAACCATATTTGGATTCAACTTTCCTTTTGGATATAAGCCTTTCTTGTGCTGCCCCCTGCTCAAAAAGTCCTGCCTTCTCTTGTACACCAAGCCCACTCATCTTATTGAAACCATTCAAATACTCAGATGATTCATATTGTTTCTTGACAATTCAACTGTAAGCTCCCAAATAGGAATTCTGTTGTTCAAGTTTTAGAGTAAGAACTATTATAGCAGTAAGACTTTCTCTCTCTGTCTCTCTCTCTCTCTCTCACACACACACATACACCCACGCACACACTTACAATGTACCAGGCACTGCTCTATATGTAAAATGTGAATCAACTTCTATAATTTTCACAGCAACCCTAAGGGGCAGGTACTATCAATACTCACATTTTACGGAAAGGAAACTGAATCAGAATAGTTAAGTGAGTTGTCTAAAATCACACAGCTGTCATTCAAACTGAGCCAGGTGAGCTCTAAATCCCAAAACTTTTTACCACTATTGTGAGATTTCTAACCTGCAGAACTGTAAGATAATAAAAAAAAAAAAAAGAAAAAAAAGAACGATTTTAAGTCACCTGGTTTCTCACTATTTGTAATAGCAGCAACAGAAAACTAACATAACTGTGCTACCCCCACTGCTATTCAAGACACAGGCATAATTCTTTGCATATAAGCTTTAAAAAGTAAAGGTGTTGGCCTCACGCCTGTAATCCTAGCACTTTGGGAGGCTGAGGCAGGCGGATCACTTGAGGTCAGGAGTTTGAGACCAGCCTGCCCAACATGGTGAAACCTCATCTCTACTAAAAATACAAAAATTAACTGGGTATGGTGGCAGGCACCTGTAATCCAAGCTACTGGTGAAGCTGAGGCAGGACAATTGCTTGAACCTGGGAGGCAGAGGTTGCAGTGAGCCAAGATTGTGCCACTGCACTCCAGCCTCGGTGACAGAGCAAGACTCTGTCTCAGAAAAAAAAAAAAGGAAAATTGTTAATGAATATATATTTGTTGAATTTGTTACAACTATCAAAAATGACCTAGCGATGCAGAGAAATACAAAAATTATCACGAGAATTAGCATGAGAGAAAAATTACATATTTATGAATTTCAAAGAGGTGACAAGGGCACCAATCTTAGAGACCAGAGATCTTGATCCTGGAGCAGATTTTGTCTAGAAATGCTTATGTGACATGAGCAAGACTTTTAATTTCTCTGAGACTCAGCTTCTATATTGAAGAATAAGGGAGTTGGACCGGGTCATCTTGAACTTCTTTCTGGTATAAAAAGAATGATATTTTGAGTATAGTTTTCTTTCTTCCCATTTATTTCAATCAAATAATAATGTGCCCCAATATTTCTCTGAGATAGCCACACTATATCATCATGAGCAGTGCTAATAATCAGATTCATGAAACGCACAAGGAAATACTCAAAGCTGACTTTAAAAAGCACCATCTTATATAACCCTGAGGTTTCCTCCCTCCACTTTAAATGATCCTTCTTAGCAGCTTGCCATTCATCACAGAAACCGATCACAGAAACCACAAGGGCATTGATCATATTTCTTGAGTCTATGCATTTGTATAATCTCATTGTCTTTATAGCGGGTGCAGAATAAGAACTTCTGACAACATCCGTTTCCTCTGCTGGGAAATAATAGATGTCTGTATAATACCAGTGATACTGGTCTGATGGCCAGCCAGTGGTTTACAATTTCCAGTAGAATTTGCCTTTATGTGTTATTTTTCTAACAGTACTGTTACTATAAAATATAAGGAAGAGTGTACTGGGGAGAAGGGTAGTGGTAGGGAAAGAATAAGAGACAGGAATAGAGGTCGCAGTTGAGGGAGCTGCAAGGTGCTTGGAGCTATTTGGCCTTTTGTGCACAATTGATAAAACCGTTTAAATTATGGTGGGTTGTGCTGCTCCAGCTAAAATTCAGTGGAGAGGATTTAAAAATATAAAAATTAGATGCAGAGAACTAAACAAAGCAATCAGTATGTGCAGAAGTTGGAGGTACCAGGACCAGCTTTTGTTGCAAATCTTTGGGCAGATGACATAATTTGGGCATAATATACATCTTTCACAGCCAAACAACATAACCCGTGATGAACAGAGCGTCCGGACAAAGATAAACCCTGTGAGTCACACGCAATTCTTTTCTCAGCAAACAGTGGAATTACATCCAGCTTGGTTGGTGGAAAAGACAGCCAAGGCATTTTCCTTTCTTTGAGTATCTTAATATAATGAAGGGATAACATATGAGAGGGAACATAAAGAAGGAGAAAACTTTATTAGAGAAGGAAACATTGTCAAATAACTAGACAGCAAAGAGACATAGGGTAACAGATTTCCTGAGATATATCCCCTGGGTACCAAATAAATTACAGGATTGGAAGAAAAACAAAGACCAAGATGAAATGTAATGTGGGAGTGTAAAAACTGAGAAGAAAGCTTATGAAGAGAAAGAAAAATAGAAATAGGAAAAACTGAGAAGAGAGGAAAGAAAATACAAAAAGAAGAGGAGGTAGAAGCCTGCTTTGTCCTCCTTTCATTGATGCACATCAGTAAGGGTCAGTCTTTGCACATTTGTTTCATCATTACTTCCACTTTCTCTTCTTTCTCACTTTTTCCCACTTCAGAATTGGGAAAGAAAGGAACTGCCAGAGATGCTTCCAGGCTCCCCTTTACTGCCATGCACAACTTGGATTTTCTTTGTCTTGCCAAGACAGCATAAAATGGGGTTCCCTGAAAGGAAATCAGGGTACTGTTAGGAAAGGACAATGAGGTTGAACAACCAAAACACAACAATATCCACACAGAATTGATTCTGTGAGCTAGTCTTATCTTACATTGAGCTCCAACCATTCACAGCTTAATGAAGGGGAACTGAAAAGCAAAGATGCTAAAAAATAACAACAACAAAAAGAAAAAATATATATATGCAATGTTCCAAAAAAGATGAAGCTTTCCCTAACCTCATAGAACAGAAATAGAAATAAAAGCTCAATGTAGTTTTCCTATCCTGTGAGTCTGCTTCAAGAATAAAATCGCTAGGTTAATTGAACTCTGACCTCTTAACATTTTCATTAAAAATGTAAAAATATTGTTTGATCATCTCTTGAAAACTAAAATGAGCTATACTTTCAGTCATTTTTGTAGTTGTCATATTTATGTTTTCATCTTTTATTATGCCCCCTGACTTTAAGATTTAGGTATACTAAATTTTATCCTCTATAAACAAATTGATGCTTTTCTATGACATTTCCTAAAAGACAAGTGGCTATTTTTCTTTTTCCTTTTGGCACATTCTTTGCTGCTTCTTAATTTTTTTTAATCTCCAGAAAATGTCTTTCAACTTTTTTTCTTCATGAGAATGCTCTTCAAGTCTCTCAGAACCTGTCATGTTATACTACTTTACATACAAAATTATACATAATTATTGTAAATGCATTTACAAATGACTAAATGGCAAATGTTTACAGATGCATACTTACAGACATGTATATATTCAATATTTACCTTATAAATAAATTTAGTCAGACTCTTTGTTAAGTGGATGGTTATTAACATGTCAAAATATGGTTCTGAGAGTATGACTTTATAACATCAGGATAGTTGATATGTACTGACAAGGACTGATGTCTAGAAATGTTAAGAGAAAAAAATAAGCTGCAGATCAATATATATACTATAATCCTTTGAATTTTTTAAAAATATCCTAAGTACAGATTCATGTATTAGGTTATAATTGGTTTTGCTGTGGTAACTAGCTTATTCTGAAATCTCAGTGATTAAACACAAGGAAGATATAGTTTGTTCATGGTACATATATAACACTCATATGCACAATGAGAGAAGAATGCTAATCCATATAGTCATTCAGGGACCCAGGCTTCCATCACATTGCATATGTAACATTTAGAAGATGGAGCCTCCTCAGTCTTCACAAGAAAGTAAGAAGGCTCATGGAAAACTCATTCTTACCATTATGCATCAGCCCAGCAATGACAAATATTACTTCTTCTTTGAGACAGGGTCTCGCTCTGTTGCCTAGGCTGGAGTGCAGTGGTGTAATCATTGCTCGCTGTAACCTTGAACTCCTGGGCTCAAGAAATTCTCCCACCTCAGCCTCCCAGGTAGCTAGGACTACAGATGCATGCCACCACACTCAACTAATTTAAAAAATTTTTTGGTAGAGACAGGGTCTTGCTATGTTACCCAGGCTGATTTTGACCTCCTGGCCTCAAGCAATCCTCCTGCCTCAGCTTCCCAAAGTGATGGGATTACTGGCATGAGCCACTGTGCCTGGCCTCACTTCTGTTTATAGTATATGGGCCTAAGCTAGTCTCAAGGCCAATATGAGCTGCAAGGAAACTGGAATTGGGAAGAGCACATGGATATACAGTAAATATTTCTAACAGTACACACACACATATGCGCGCGCGCACACACACACACACACACACACAGAGAGACAGAGACAGAGAGAGAGAGAGATGCAAAATGCAAATTTAAAAGCTCCAGAAAGAAAAAAAAATCTATCTAGTGAGTACCTTTGAGGAGAGAAGTGAAATTAGGGAAAGAATGAAGAAAAATTCTATTATATTATATGCTTCCAAATTTTTGCATTTTTAAAATAAAATCAGGTCTTACATGAGTTATTCTGAGACAATCTGGTTGAAATAAAACTGGTAAATAAGTGGTTAAAAGGCAGTACAAAATAGTTTCCATCAATGGCCCAGCATCAAGCATGGGCATAGTTTTCAGGGATCAACCAGGGCTCTCTATGATTTAGTGGCTGTTGTTTGATCAATGGTTGAAATGTTAGAGTGGAGAGCCTGCTGATTAAGTTCATGGATGAAGCTATGTTAACTAAAACTTTGGGAGCTGTGATTAAGATCCAAACTGGCCTGTCAGAAGTGAGCTATGGCCAAGTGTGGGGTGTGAGTATACTTGGGAGTGAAGAATGAATCTCTGAAGACTGCAAGGGTCAGACAAAAATACTTGAGTGCCTCTGGATTCAGTGTAAATCACATGCCAGATGGATGCCTGGAATAAACTGGGTTGCTTTAAGAAATGTAGCATTGCTTAGGCATTTCAAGTTTTAAGAGAAGACAGGAAAGGAAAGAAAGGAACATATCTTCAGAGTTTGTATTCAAGATCATCAGGCAAAAATAAATAAACAAATTACTGAACAGGGTGGACTGTGTATCAGAGCATGTGCTACAGTGGTAAATAATGCAGACACTGTCATCATCTTTATGGAGATCATGTCTAGCTGCTCTCTTTACATCCAAGACTTCTCTCTTTTGGTCTCTAGGTTGACTTGTCCAGGGACCAGCAGCAAGAGACTCTCTTGAGAACTTATTAGAAATGCAGAATATGAGCTCAATCCCAGACCTAACGAATCAGAATCTGCTTTCTAACAAGGTCCCTCAGGTGGTTCATGTGCACATTCATTTGTGGAAAGCACAGGTCTAGGTTATATCTTCCTCCTCGAACTTACCTACCCTATTAAGGAGAAAGCCTTCTTACTCACTTTGCAATTGCCTTGTCTTTGATTTTTATCTACACATGGATAGCCTCAAGAGAATTGAAAGACATAGGAGAGGTTAAGCAGACATACATAATGAAGGGGTGAATAGAGAGGGGAAGTGCAAAGAGAAATATTCAGGCAGGAGGAGATTATGGGAAAGTTCAGGGAAATGTAGAGACAGGAGGAGAGAGAAATGGAGGGCAACTGCAAATAAATAAAGAGATGAGGGAAAGCAAATTAGAAGAAGTCTTGCTATACAATGTCTCCATCAGCCATTCTTTGAAAGACTTCATAAGAGATTTAAATTTCTTTTTAACTATCTTTGGGTGTCACTACTAATATTTTTTATGTGAAACCAGATGAGAAGGGGCTACTACTACAAACCCTAGCTTTATATTAGTTATATATTAGTTGTCATTTCTTAGGTAGGAGGGTGGAAAAGGCAATAAAAATCTAAGACAAGTACTAAAATCCAGCAATATGCAGTTCCCATTCTATACCATTTCCAAAAAGGAAGGATTTTTTTTTCATTATTTCACAATGTTTCTGTTGACTTTCATAGATCTCTGCACTGAATTATTTAATGATGTTAAATTAGAGCTAAATCCCCAAAGAGCTGTGATTTACCAGTTACACTAGAAAGAGATGGACCAGATAGATCCTTCGAGCTGATTTTAGCTCTGTATGTCTATGTCTAGTATGAATGGAAAAAAATTGAAAATAATCTCCAACTTGTGGAATTAAATTAGCAGTAAGAATATTCCAGCCTTGGTTTTTAGCTAAATGAATTGCTTGAACATAAATGATCATTATCCTTTCTATGTACATAACAAAGAGGATCAATTTTGAAGCCCAAATGAATGATAGTGATAGTAAAAAAAGGAATTCATAAATCAAACTTGGTAGAATATAATAACCTCAGTACCTACGGCTGCTCTGTATAATCTCCATACCAAACAAAAATCACAAAACAAAAAATAATTTGTTGTGGAAAATCTTGAATGGTATGAGAGATGAAGTGATGGTTCTCCTTGGAAAACAACTCTCATAAACATTTATTTTAAAAATAGTTTTTAGATCAGGAGAAAACATCAGAAGGCAACTCTACCTGGCTCTTTTGCTCTTTTTGGTGTTTAATTTAAACTCAAGGTTGGGGGATTCTTTTTTTTTTTTTTTTTTTTTTTTTTTTAGACGGAGTCTCACTCTTTCGCCTAGGCTGGAGTGCAGTGGTGCAACCTCGGCTCACTGCAACCTCCACCTCCGGGTTCAAGCGATTCTCCTACCATGGCCTCCTGAGTAGCTGGGACTGCTGGCACCTGCCACCATGCCTGGCTAATTTTTGTATTTTTAGTAGAAATGAGATTTCAGTATGTTGGCCAGGCTGGTCTCGAATTCCTGACCTCATGATCTGGCACCTCGGCCTCCCAAAGTGCTGGGATTACAGGTATGAACCACAGTACCTGGCCGGGGATTCTTATGACAACAAAAATAAAGAATTTTGTTTCAATTTAAGCATAGTCTTTGATGCTGCATTGCCCATGTGGTAACATGCAACCCTGCTTGACTTAGATATAGTACCACGCATTCAACTGCAGAACAATTTCAAAGACTTTCAAGAGACTAGGTGCCCTTTCTCTCTGAGGTAGAATCTAATTAGCCCACGGTAAGAGGCCTTTAAAACACACACACACACACACACACACACACACACACACGCACACACGGTGAGAAAAGTGCTAAACTTTATTAAAATAGGGTACCTGTCATCAGTTTATATAGCATTTACTTCTAATTGCTGGTGTGAATATCACGAAGTCTTCCACATTTAAAGAGAGAGAGAGAGAGAGAAAGGAAGGTTGCTGATCTAAATGTGCTTTACAAATGCTTTATCAAAGCTACAACATTTCAAGTGCTTCACAGGCTATAATACAAACATGATGGCAAGAAATTGTGTTGAGTTGATTGCTGCCTTCAACCCTCACTATGTAAACCTCCATAACACAAGCACCATATCTACTAGTAGACATGCAAGTCCTTGGGCCATGCTCCAGGGTCAGTGTGTTTTTCTGGCTTGTGGTGTCAGTATATGAACTCTAATTACAGTTAATACACTATTCCTAGGTACTGATCTCCAATCCCACAGCTGCCAGATCCATTGGAGAAACTGGCTGAAAGTCAAGGCCAGGGAGTTTTAAGGGAAAGCAAAATGCTGAAACGAACAAGATGCTGTCTATCTCCTGCTTAAATGTTTTCTCATGGCTCTCGAAATTAAGGTCAAGATCTGCAGGATGAATTACACAGTCCTGCGCAGCCTCGCAGCTCCCTAGCTCCTGCTCAGCATTTTTCCCTTAGCTGACTATTCTTCAGCCATGCTGGTTTTTTCCCTCATCACGGGGCCTTGACCCACATCCCTGCCCCTTGCCCACTGCATTTCTAACCTCTCTCTTCCCTTCATCCGTCAAGTCACAGTGCAAATGTCAAGGCATTAGGAGAAGCCAAACTTCAGCATTCAAACTAGGTAGTTTGTTACCTCTGTTATGCGATCCCACAGGACCTGCAACTTCTCCATGAGTACATCTACCACAATTGCAGTTTTACTGTTATATATCCAATTATTTTTTACTGCCTTTTCTCCTAGGCTTTAAACTCCATATTTCTAAGTACTATCTGTCTGGCACATAGAGACTCCATAAATATTTGTTAACTGAATGAATGAATGAATGAATGAATGAATAAAACAGAGAAGAGATAGGAGTCAGATAGTCCCATAAGTCTCCTTAATCATTTATGTCTGTCAGAGTCCCTTTTACTAATACTGAAATTTCTTATTTCTGAATTGGTCTCCCCCATTTAATTATCTGATCTTCAGGTAGAGGGCCCTTGTCACCTGCCACATATGAAAGAGCTCAAAGATCAGCTGCTTGGAGAAGAATGGGAGGAAGACATGGAGACAGAAGAAGAATGATAAGAAGGAAGAAGAAAAGGTGGCAGAGAGAGAAAAAGAAGACAGAGGAAGGGTTAGTAAGTCCTTAAACATGTCAGATGAAATACAAGAGAAAAATCCCTGATTAAAACCTTCCTCTGGAAGAAGAAAAGGCTTATGTAACCTTTTTGGAGGATATGCCAAACAAATGTGGCACATTGACAGCATATTATAAATAATACTGATTTTAAAATTGTTTTTATAAAGACAAACAGAACACTGAATTTCCTGTTGGCAATACTCAAACCATTAATAATTTTGATTTCAGGTTAATACATTTTTGGGGGGAGAATAGAGGACTTCAGAGGGCATTTAGAATCATTAGAAGCTGGTGTATTACCACTGACATTAACAATCTTTGGGAAAACTCATGATGTCACTTGCTTTGAACAATATGAGGACCAGCTGTAAGTGGTACAGAATGAAGACTAATGACTAACTGTTCACATGCAAAACTCAAGACTTGTGGGAGAGGACTTCTTAGGCAGCACCAGGCTGTTAGGCCAAATTATTAGCTCATTTCAATTGAAAATGTGAAAAGACATTACACTTTGCAAGATGGTACTGAAGACAGCCAAGACTTTTAGCTGAAAGAATCTCATTCAGAGCATCCCCATGGTGCCAGGCTTTCAACTGTATATTACAGATATGTTACTGTTGATATTCTGTATTTTTGTAAGATCTGGTCAAAATGCATTTAGCTCTATATTCAATAATTTTTGGTCCACATCAGAAAGTCTTTAGTCATCCTGTATTTTAGACTTTTTACTTACATTTCTATTATTCAAGACAATGTATTTGTTCACCGTCCTCTTCTAAAAATGATGAGTATCATTAACATGTCACAACTCATTTGTTTGTTTTTTTATTCCAAAGCCATAAACTTTTATTGAAAATGTTGTGATCCATTCACTTTCAAGAAAAGCTGTTGGAACATCTTGGTTTGACAGTCTCTTAAGTCAAGCCCACTATGCTCCTGACATGGTGAGTCACACTTTTGCCAAAAACAGGCAAAAGCTAAACTCTGCATGTTAGCAGCAGATGAGGCCAATAAGCTGGCTTTGGAAATGGTTCTCAAAGTAGCCACATTTGAATCCTGGATAAGAAAGGATACCTCACATAGAAGTTGGCAACCATAAATCAACCAAGGTTCCTCTGTCCCTCATTTCACCCCACGTCCAGTCTAACACTTAACCCCATTAATTTTGCTTCCAATCTTCCCCACGCTACCTGAGCTACTCCAGTGGTCTCCTCCCTGGGCTTTGGACTTACATCCTTGGCCTCTTCAGTGCATTCTCTACATGGAGACCCAAGTGATCTGATAAACACAAATTGGATAAGTTTGGATATCTGTTGTAGGATAGTAACCATAGTTGATAATAATGTATTGAATACTTGGAAATTGTTAAGATATTAGATCTCAACTCTATTCACAACAAAAAATAAGTATGTGAGGTGATGGATCTGTTAATTAGCTTGATTGTATCATTTTACAACGTATACCTATATCAATACATCACCTCATATGCCATCAATATATGCGTTTTTTTGTCAAATGTGCCTTAGTTTTAAAAGAATAAAATTAAAAATAAGCACTCTCCAAAAAATAAAACAAAACAAAAACCAAAAATATGATCATATCACCCATCTGCATGAACCCTTCAATGATTTTCCTTGCACTTAGGATAAAGCAAAACTCTTTACTCTTACTTAAAACGCCTTGCCATCCTCTCCAAACTCATCCTGTATTACTTTCCATCAGTCTCCTTTGTATTTATTATCTTAAAAGTTAAGGTGCAGTAACACCAACAGACACTTTCACCCTGGTGACCCCGGTCATCCTGGCTCACTCACCAGGTAAGCTGGGCACCATTCAGGAGTTCTGGACTGTGGAGACATGAACAGAGGTGCCCTCACATCTTCTCATTGACATATCACACTAAAGTCATATTATCCAATGATAACTAAATTGCCAAAATGAACAGTGGACTATGTAATCTAATGCCTACCAAGAAACTCCAGTTAGAAGATAATACCAAAAAAGGAAACACAAGCAACCACAAGAAAACAGCAGAACAGACACTTCTCATACTCCAAATCCATACTTCTTTCATGTTAAAATCGATGACTGAATCAGATTTGCCGCAATGCCAGGAAGAAAGTGATTATCAAAAAAAGTATTTGAACTTATTTTCGTGTTTACTATTGTTAATAATGATCCTTAACTTTCATATATACTGAACCTTGACCTATTGATAATATGAAAATATAATTAGCAAGAACATTTCAAAGCTAAGCATACAGATTATTAATCTACTTAAGAATATAAGAGATTTTATGTTAATAAAAATGACTTAAATATAACATAACACAGTGATATAGGAACATAATTTGTAAATAAGCAAATACATATATTTTTGTATTCCTTCCTCAAAATGTTTCTATTGCTGGGGTGGTCAAAGAGCTTAGAGACAGCTAGACTCCTATGTATCAGAATCATTTGTGGAACTGCTAAAAGCAAGGATTCCTGCGATTCACCTCAGGGTCTCCAAGGTGGGATGCAGGAATCTGCATTTTTAAACATATCCATTAGAGATCTTGAAGTGTTCCTAGGATTCATTAATTCCATGCATACTGAATAAATCCTCCTGTGTACCAGGCACTTTGAGATGCTGAGGGGACAGCAGTGAACAATTTAGACAAGGCTACTGCTCTCCTGGTGCTTACATTTTAATGTGAAACAAAGAAAGGAGGATACTTGACATCAATATGTGATACAAAGTAAATAAAACGGGATATTAAGATAGAAAGTCAGGAGCTGGACACAATGGCTTGTGCCTGTAATCCTAGCACTTTGGGAGGCCAAGGTAGGAGGACTGCTTGATCCCAGGAGTTAGAGGCCAGCCTGTGCAACATAGGAAGACCCTGTCACTACAAAAGAATTAAAATTAGTCGGTATGGTGGAGCGCACATGTAGTCCCAGCTACTTGGGAGGTTGAGGTGGGAGGATCACTTGAGCCCAGGAGGCCGAGACTTCAGTAAGTCATGATTGTGCCACTGCACTCCAGTCTGGGCAACAGAGTGAGACACTGCCTCTCAAGAACAAAAAAAGAAAGAAAGTCATACAGGTTTCAGGAAGGACTCTTGTGGAGATAACGTTTAGGCTGAGAGTTGAATGGCAAGAAGAAGCCAGTCATGCCAAAATACGGGACCAAAGGGAACATCAGTGCAAAGTCCCTAGGTGCACCAAATTTGAAAAATTTGAGGAAAAGGAAAAGATCATACAGCAAGCATTGGGGACAAGGATAAGATGCAAGGTGAGGTGAGGCACTACTCCCGTCAGCTTTGGAAGGCAGGGGAAGGAGTTCAGATGTTCTTTTAAGTGAGATGGGGAGGCATTGAAGGGTGTCAGGTAAAGGTACCATCTGATGTGATTTATATTTTTAAAGCATACACACTGGCTCTGTGTGGGGAATGGAATGCAAAGAGGCTGGAAGGACATCAGGTGAGATCCACTGTGACAGTCAAGACTTTTAAACCTGGCCGGGTGCAGTGGCTCACGCCTGTAATCCCAGCATTTTGGGAGGCTGAGGCAGGTGGATCACAAGATCAGGAGATGGAGACCATCCTGACTAACGTGGTGAAACCCTGTCTCTACTAAAAATACAAAAAAATTAGCCAGACACGGTGGTGGGCACCTATAGTCCCAGCTACTGGGGAGGTTGAGGCGGGAGAATGACATGAACCCGGGAGGCGGGGCTTGCTTGCAGTGAGCTGAAATTGTACCACTGCACTCCAGCATGGGCGAGAGAGCAAGACTGTGTCTCAAAAATAAATAAATAAATAAATAAGACTTTAAAACCTAAGGCCAAGCACGGAACTAAAGAAACTGTAGCATTTGGCTGTTGAGTGAACAAATCAACAATGAAGAATTAATAAACAGTGGAACCAAAGAATGAATCAAAGCCAGGAGTGAATTATAGTCCTAGAAACTCACCCCATATCCATTGGCGACCCTTCCAGTTAGAAGTCAGGACCACTGAGCACTCCTGTTCTGGGTCAGCCAGCCCTCTGCTCATATTTCAGACAGAATGCATTTTATGATTAATCTTAATCCTCCTACCTCCCATAGAAGTAAATCATCTAAATGCTTTCCTCAGGGGAGGAGAAAAGGTAAATGATCTCTCCAAACATACCCTTTAAAATTTTTTCGATGAAAGCAAATTTTTAAACCCACACATTTGAGTGGGAACTGAATGGTGCTAAACAAATACCCAACTTCTACATGTGAGATCTTTGAGGTGACCCCATGTCTGTCACCACAGAATGAAGTTTGTAACCACAGCCAAGGTTTCTACCCTCATCCTTGCCCCGACTTCCAACTAACAGGAGCCAGAAGTTGCCTAGGTTAAGACAGGAGATGGCTGTGGTCTTTTCCACTTAAGTTATTATGCACCTTCTTTTTCTTTCAGACACCTTGCTTTTTCACTCTCAACATGAATGCCTCTCTCTGATTTGCAAATCTCTTTCCAGAGTCTGTCTAAACGGAAAGTTTTTTTTGATCTATAGCCCAGACACAGGTAGGATCTGTATTTCCAACATCTAGTGCGGGCTGCCTCCCTGTTGACATTAATCTTCCACCTTTGCCGGGTCTAGACAATAGGGGTTGGAGAGCGTTAATCTAAAGATTCACCAGACACCAAGCCATAAATCTGCCTGGGGGTAGACAGACTTGTGGCATTTTCTATTTGCTCCTAAGAAGACTCTAGGCTCTGTTTGGTCCTCCATTGCCTCTGCCCTGAGAAATTGAATTACTCACAACATCAAAATTCAGTTCCTCCAGAGCATCTCACACTCATCAAAGCTGAGAAGAACAAGGCACCATCCATTTGCTTCAGGAATTAAGTTAGAAAATCCAAGGGGAGACATTGGAAAGATACAATATATTTAGTTGTTGTGAGACATTTTGTTTCCCAACAGAATAAAGCAAAGGAGATATTTCTCATTATATAGTCATGTTTCCTAGTGAGCATCACCAAGATTTTTCTGATTGCCATATCTACTTTTTCTTATCTGGGTTAGGGTGAAAGTTCCCAGTTAAGACCAAAACTATAAGGTGTTCACAAGAGAATACTACCAGTAAGCTGGATATTTGCTGTACATTTTCATGAAACCCAAATATTAAAAAGCAAATCTGAAAAGTGTGCCTAATGATAGATTAGGCAATTGTGTCTGCAAAACCAAAGGCGTCGTTATCTCTTGTCTCCATGTACAACTGACAAATGACTTCCCTTTAGGAGTTACTTTGAATTTTTGTTTTGACTTTTGCTTCCCCTGAGATTAACTGGACTGTCAATGTGTGTGGGTATATGCTTAAAGATTATTCTCTGTGTGCACACGCATGTGCCTGTGCCTCCCTCTGTGTGTACCTATTTTAGGGTACTCATCCTATGGACAAGCCGACTACTTGAGATATCTTCCAGTACAAGAACTCCATAATTATTACGCAACTCCATGTACCAATTAAAGAAATGTTTTCATGCACATCTCCAGATTGAGCTTTGGCTCCATTATATTCCTGGGATCATTCATATGCTGACATCACTTACAGTAGACACCCCAGTGTGTGCAGAAAGATAAGCTTCATTTCATGTGTCAAGAATGAGATAGACTGGATAAAGAAAATGTGGTACATATACACTATGGAATACTATGTAGCCATAAAAATGAATGAGATCACGTCCTTTGCAGAGACAGGGATGGAACTGGAAGCAGTTATCCTTAGCAAACTAGAGCAGGAACAGAAAACCAAACACTGAATGTTCTTATTTATAAGTGGGAGCTGAATAATGAGAACACATGGACACATAGGGGGAACAACACACACTGGGGCCTGTCAGTGTGGTGTGGGGGGATGGAGGGCATCAAGAAGAATAGCTAATGGATGCTGGGGTTAATACCTAAGTCATGGGTTCATTTGTGTAGCAAACCACCATGGCACCCATTTACCTATGTAACAAACATGCACATCCTGCACATGTACCCTGGAATTTAAAAGTTCAAGAAGAAAAATAAAAACAGATTGAGTTGGGAGCAGTTCCAAAATAGCCGAATAGGAACTGCTGCAGTCTACAGCTCCCAGCGTGAGCCATGCAGAAGATGAATGATTTCTGCATTTCCAACTGAGGTACCCGGTTCATCTTACTGGGGATTGTCGGACACTGGGTGCAGGACAGTGGGTGCAGCACATCAAGCATGAGCCGAAGCAGGGAGAGGCATTGCCTCCCCTGGGAAGCACAGGGGGTCAGGGAATTCCCTTTCCTAGACAAGGAAAGGGGTGACAGATGGCACCTGGAAAATCAGGTCACTCACACCCTAATAATGCGCTTTTCCAACGGTCTTAGCAAACGGCACACCAGGAGATTATATCCCGCACATGGCTCGAAGGGCCCTATGCCCACGGAGCCTCACTCATTGCTAGCACAGCAGTCTGAGATCAAACTGCAAGGCAGCAGCGAAGCTGGGGGAGGGGTGCCCGCCATTGCTGAGACTTGAGCAGGTAAAGCGGCCGGGAAGCTCGAACTGGGTGGAGCCCACCGCAGCTCAAGGAGGCCTGCCTGCCTTTGTAGACTCCACCTCTGGGGGCAGGGCATAGCCAAACAAAGGTCAGCAGAAACCTCTGCAGACTTAAATGTCCCTGTCCAACAGCTTTGAAGAGAGTAGTGCTTTGCCCAGCACGCAGCTGGAGATCTGAGAACGGACAGACTGCCTCCTCAAGTGGGTCCCTGATCCCCGAGTAGCCTAACTGTGAGGCATCCCCCAGTAGGGGCAGACTGACACCTCACACGGCAAGGTACTCCTCTGAGACAAAACTTCCAGAGGAATGATCAGGCAACAACATTTGCTGTTCACCAATATTCACTGTTCTGCAGCCTCCACTGCTGATACCCAGGAAAACAGGGTCTGGAGTGGACCTCCGGAAAACTCCAACAGACCTGCAACTGAGGGTCCTGACTGTTAGAAGGAAAACTAACAAACAGAAAGGACATCCACACCAAAACCCCATCTGTACATCACCATCATCAAAGACCAAAGGTAGATAAAACCACAAACATGGGGAAAAAACAGAGCAGAAAAACTGAAAATTCTAAAAATCAGAGCACCTCTCCTCCTCCAAAGGAACGCAGCTCCTCACCAGCAATGGAACAAAGCTGGACAGAGAATGACTTTGATGAGTTGAGAGAAGAAGGCTTCAGATGATCAAACTTCTCTGAGCTAAAGGAGGAAGTTTGAACCCATGGCAAAGAAGTTAAAAACCTTGAAAAAAGATTAGATGAATGGCTAACTAGAATAATCAATGCAGAGAAGTCCCTAAAGGACCTGATGGAGCTGAAAACGATGGCACGAGAACTACGTGACAAATGCACAAGCTTCAGTAGCCAATTTGATCAACTGGAAGAAAGGTTATCAGTGATGGAAGATCAAATGAATGAAATGAAGCGAGAAGAGAAGTTTAGAGAAAAAAGAATAAAAAGAAATGAACAAAGCCTCCAAGAAATATGGGACTATGTGAAAAGACCAAATCTACGTCTGATTGGTGTACCTGAAAGTGATGGGGAGAATGGAACCAAGTTGGAAAACACTCTGCAGGATATTATCCAGGAGAACTTCCCCAAACTAGCAAGGCAGGCCAACTTTCAAATTCAGGAAATACAGACAATGCCACAAAGATACTCCTCAAGAAGAACAACTCCAAAACACATAATTGTCAGATTCACGAAAGTTGAAATGAAGGAAAAAATGTTAAGGGCAGCCAAAGAGAAAGGCCGCGTTACCCACAAAGGGAAGCCCATCAGACTAACAGCTGATCTCTCGGCAGAAACTCTACAAGCCAGAAGAGAGTGGGGGCCAATATTCAACATTCTTAAAGAAAAGAATTTTCAACCCAGAATTTCATATCCAGCCAATCTAAGCTTCATAAGTGAAGGAGAAATAAGATCCTTTATAGACAAGCAAATGCTAATAGATTCTGTCACCACCAGGCCTGCCCTAAAAGAGCTCCTGAAGGAAGCACTAAACATGGAAAGGAACAACCAGTACCAGCCACTGCAAAAACATGCCAAATTGTAAAGACCAATGGGGCTAGGAAGCGACTGCATCAACTAATGAGCAAAATAACTAGCTAACATCATAATGACAGGATCAAATTCACACATAACAATATTAACCTTAAATGTAAATGGGCTAAATGCTCCAATTAAAAGACACAGACTGGCAAATTGGATAAAGACTCAAAACCCATCAGTGTGCTGTATTCAGGAAACCCATCTCACATGCAGAGACATGCATAGGCTCAAAATAAAGGGTTGGAGGAAAATCTACCAAGCAAATGGAAAATAAAAAAAGGCAGGGGTTGTAATCCTAGTCTCTGATAAAACAGACTTTAAACTAACAAAGATCAAAAGGACAAAGAAGGCCATTACATAATGGTAAAGGGAACAATTCAACAAGAAGAGCTATTCTAAATACATATGCACCCAATACAGGAGCACCCAGATTCATAAAGCAAGTCCTTAGAGACCTACAAAGAGACTTAGACTCCCACACAATAATAATGGGAGACTTTAATACCCCACTGTCAACATTAGACAGATCAAGGAGACAGAAAGTTAACAAGGATATCCAGGAATTGAACTCAGCTCTGCACCAAGTGGACCTAATAGACATCTACAGAACTCTCTACCCCAAATCAACAGAATATACATTCTTTTCAGAACCACACCACACTTATTGCAAAACTGACCACATAGTTGGAAGTAAAGCACTCCTCAGCAAATGTAAAAGAACAGAAATTATAACAAACTGTCTCTCAGATCACAGTGCAATCAAACTAGAACTCAGGATTAAGAAACTCACTCAAAACCACTCAACTACATGGAAACTGAACAACCTGCTTCTGAATGACTACTGGGTACATAATGAAATGAAGGCAGAAATACAGATGTTCTTTGAAAGCAATTAGAACAAAGACACAACAAACCAGAATCGCTGGGACACATTTAAAGCAGTGTGTAGAGGGAAATTTATAGCACTAAATGCCCATGAGAGAAAGCAGGAAAGATCTAAAATTGACACCCCAACATCAAAATTAAAAGAACTAGAGAAGCAAGGGGAATGACATTCAAAAGCTAGCAGAAGGCAAGAAATAACTAAGATCAGAGCAGAAATGAAGGAGATAGAGACACAAAAAACCCTTCAAAAAAAAAAAACCCTTCCATGTAGTTGAGCGGTTTTGAGTGAGTTTCTTAATCCTGAGTTCTAGTTTGATTGCACTGTGATCTGAGAGACAGTTTATTATAATTTCTGTTCTTTTACATTTGCTGAGGAGTGCTTTACTTCCAACTATGTGGTCAATTTTGGAATAACTGCAGTGTGGTGCTGAAAAAATCTATGAATCCAGGAACTGGTTTTTTGAAAAGATCAACAAAATTGATAGACTTCTAACAAGACTAATAAAGAAGAAAAGAGAGAAGAAACAAATAGATGCAATAAAAAATAATAAAGGGGATATCACCACCGATCCCACAGAAATACAAAGTACCATCAGAGAATACTATAGACAACTCTATGCAAATAAACTTGGAAATCTAGAAGAAATGGATAAATTCCTCAACACATATACCATCCCAAGACTAAACCAGGAAGAAGTTGAGTCTCTGAATAGACCAATAACAGGCTCTGAAATTGAGGCAATAATTAATAGCCTACCAACCAAAAAAAGTTCAGGACCAGATGGATTCACAGCCGAATTCTACCAGAGGTAAAAGGAGGAGCTGGTACCATTCCTTCTGAAACTATTCCAATCAATTGAAAAAGAGGGAATCCTCCCTAACTCATTTTATGAGGCCAGCATCATCCTGATACCAAAGCTGGGGAAAGACACAACAAAAAAAGAATTTTAGACCAATATCCCTGATGAACATCAATGCAAAAATCCTCCATAAAATACTGGCAAACTGAATCCAGCAGCACATCAAACAGCGTATCCACCATGATCAAGTGGGCTTCATCCCTGGGATGCAAGGCTGGTTCAACATATGGAAATCAATAAACGTAATTCAGCATATAAAGAGAACCAATGACAAAAACCACATGATTCCTCAACAGATGCGGAAAATGCCTTTGACAAAATTCAACAACACTTCATGCTAAATACTCTCAATAAATTAGGTATTGATGGGACGTATCTCAAAATAATAAGAGCTATATATGACAAACCCACAGCCAATATCATACTGAATGGGCAAAAACTGGAAGCATTCCCTTTGAAAACTGGCACAAGACAGGGATGCCCTCTCTCACCACTCCTATTCAACATAGTGTTGGAAGTTCTGGCCAGGGCAATCAGGCAGGAGAAGGAAATAAAGGGTATTCAATTAGGAAAAGAGGAAGTCAAATTGTCCCTGTTTGCAGATGACATGATTGTATATCTAGAAAACCCCATCGTCTCAGCCCAAAATCTCCTTAAGCTGATCAGCAACTTCAGCAAAGTCTCAGGATACAAAATCAATGTGCAAAAATCACAAGCATTCTTATACACCAATAACACATAAACGGAGAGCCAAATCATGAGTGAACTCCCATTCACAATTGCTTCAAAGCGAATAAAATACCTAGGAATCCAACTTACAAGGGATGTGAAGGACCTCTTCAAGGAGAACTACAAACCACTGCTCAACGAAATAAAAGAGGATACAAACAAATGGAAGAACATTCCATGCTCATGGATAGGAAGAATCAATATCATGAAAATGGCCATACTGCCCAAGGTAATTTAAAGATTCAATGCCATCCCCATCAAGCTACCAATGACTTTCTTCACAGAATTGGAGAAAACTACTTTAAAGTTCATATGGAACCAAAAAAGAGCCTGCATTGCCAAGTCAATCCTAAGCCAAAAGAACAAAGCTGGAGGCATCACGCTACCTGACTTCAAACTATACTACAAGGCTACAGTAACCAAAACAGCATGGTACGGGTACCAAAACAGAGATATAGATCAATGGAACAGAACAGAGCCCTCAGAAATAATGCCACATATCTACAACTATCTGATCTTTGACAAACCTGAGAAAAACAAGCAATGGGGAAAGGATTCCCTATTTAATAAATGGTGCTGGGAAAACTGGCTAGCCATATGTAGAAAGCTGAAACTGGATCCCTTCCTTACACCTTATACAAAAATTAATTCAAGATGGATTAAAGACTTAAATATTAGACCTAAAACCATAAAAACCCTAGAAGAAAACCTAGGCAATACCATTCAGGACATAGGCATGGGCAAGGACTTCATGAGTAAAACACCAAAAGCAATGGCAACAAAAGCCAAAACAGACAAATGGGATCTAATTAAACTAAAGAGCTTCTGCACAGCAAAAGAAACTACCATCAGAGTGAACAGGCAACCTACAGAATGGGAGAAAATTTTTGCCATCTACTCATCTGACAAAGGGCTAATATCCAGAATCTACAAAGAACTTAAAAAAATTTACAAGAAAAAAACAAACAACCCCATCAAAAAGTGGGTGAAGGATATGAACAGACACTTCTCAAAAGAAGACATTTATGCAGCCAACAGACACATGAAAAAATGCTCATTATCACTGGCCATCAGAGAAATGCAAATCAAAACCACAATGAGATACCATCTCACAGCAGTTAGAATGGCAATCATTAAAAAGTCAGGGAACAACAGATGCTGGAGAGGATGTGGAGAAATAGGAACACTTTTACACTGTCGGTGGGACTGTAAACTAGTTCAACCATTGTGGAAGTCAGTGTGGTGATTCCTCAGGGATCTAGAACTAGAAACACCATTTGACCCAGCCACCCCATTACTGGGTATATACCCAAAGGATTATAAATCATGCTGCTATAAAGACACATGCACACGTATGTTTATTGCGGCACTATTCACAATAGCAAAGACTTGGAACCAACCCAAATGTCCAACAATGATAGACTGGATTAAGAAAATGTGGCATATATACACCATGGAATACTATGCAGCCATAAAAAATGATGAGTTCGTGTCCTTTGTAGGGACATGGATGAAGCTGGAAACCGTCATTCTCAGCAAACTATCGCAAGGACAAAAAACCAAACACAGAATGTTCTCACTCACAGGTGGGAATTGAACAATGAGAACACATGGACACAGGAAGGGGAACATCATACTCCGGGGCCTGTTGTGGGGTGTGGGGAGAGGGGAGGGATAGCATTAGGAGATATACGTAATGTAAATGACGAGTTAATAGGTGCAGCACACCAACATGGCACATGTATATATATGTAACAAACCTGCACACGTTGTGCACATGTACCCTAAAACTTAAAGTATAATAATAATAAAAAAAAGAAAAAAAAACAGATTGAGTTGGTAGTGGATTCCTAGAGCTCTGTGTTTAGAAGGCTATCTTTTTCCTTAACAGGAAAGAGTGCCAAAATCATCAGGTCTTATTTCTACAGGAACAGGAACTTGAACAAGGACACAAGTTACCTTTCTCCAATCTGTTCCTTCATGTGTTTTCTATTGACAGGCTTCATCTTGAACACATACTTCACTCCATCACTTGCTAGACTCTCTTAACCAAATATTTTGCTCCCATTTTTTTCAGCTTACCTCTACATGAGGGGCTAGACCATGGAGTGTCCCTTCAACCTCAACTGACCTGTGATATGGCTCATGATACGGCTTATTCGTTATGTTCCAGTTTCCAGGCTAATTCTGTAAGTACTTTGTTTTAGAGTAAGACTAAGTGAGAATGTCATAATGAATTATGCTTTTGGAATAATATGTTTACATTTTAACTCAAGTTGTGGCCTTTAAGAGGCATGATGAATAAACTTTCTCACACACATCTGCACTCACTGACTTTGGTGGCTTATTGCATCATACGCAAATGGCCAGGCCCACTTTATGATCTCAGCTCAGGAATGGCATGCTTACTTTCTGTGCTCATGAAAACAATCATCAAAAAGTCTGGTTACCTCAAGATTAAGGTGCTACAAAAAAATGAGCTATCAACCTGTGCACAGAATGGGCCAGCATCTTGTGAGCATACAAAAGAGATCTGGGTTGCAATTTCTACCATAGTACAATTTGCCCATTTAAACTAGCTCAACGTTCCCCATTAATTACTCATGGACATTTCAGCTCTTTTGAAAATTAGTAACAAAGAAACACAGCTTAAGAAATAAACTACCTATACAAAAATAACCTAGGAGGAAAGAGAGAGTCACATGTGGCAAATAAACATTTGTAATCGGTACTATAAATCATGAAACAGATTAATTATCCAGAAACATACAAAATCATCCTCTAAATTGTTCTCCTAATGTACCAGCTCTCCACTGACTCATTACTAAATTATTTGCTAGTGAATGAATTTTCTTTTCTTCAAACGCTTTTTGAGCTGGGAGAAGTTGGCACAGACAAAATGCTTTCTGCCAGGGGTGAGGTTATATCCCCACAACCCTGAATCAACTGGTTATAAAAATCAAAGAATTCTGCTGAACCACAAGGAAGTTTTCTCTTGTGGTTATCGGCCATTTATTTTGCCACATCTTCATTACCATTCTGAAATAAAATTCACAGATAATATAACCTACTGACATGTAATTTAAATAAACAAACATTTTCCTTCCTAATATATAGGAAGGAAAAAAGAAAGTCACTTATTATAATATGCATTTAATATTTGCATGTTTGGGCTCTAAACTGGAAATCGTAATAAAGCAGTCAGATGATTTCATCTGTAACAGAAAAACAAAAGCTACAGATATTCTCCAATCCTTGGAGCAACCAAAATTGCATCCATGTATTTGCTATACAACTCCTAGAGAGAGGTGATTTCACTGAGACCCACAATTTCCACAACACTAAATGGTTGGTTTGATAGCCTCTTTTTGATATATATTTTTTTCAGGCTGAATTCATTATTGGTCTGACTAGTGGTGTCATAGCCATTGATGAGACCTTGAGACCACACACCCTAAGTTTTTACATCTCTGCTTTTATTTTTACTTTTTAGAACTAGCATCTTGCTCTGTCACCCAGGCTGGAGTTCAGCAGCGTGATATGGCTCACTGCAGCTTCAAACTCCTGGCTTCAAGCAATTCTCCCATCTCAGCCTCCCAAGTAGCCAGGACTACAGGCATGTGCCACCATACTTACCTAATTTTTTAAATTTTTATGGAAATAGAGTCTCACTTTGTTGCCCAGGCTGGTCTCAAACTCCTGGCCTCAAGCGATCCTCCGACCTCAGCCTCCCGAAGCACTGTGATTACAGACATAAGCCACTGTGCCTAGCCTCACCTCTGTTTCTAAGTATAATTCTCTGAAAGTCCAATTCTAATGAAATAAACATAGAAACCTGCCAGTCCCATGGCCTGCCACATGACTGTACCTTTAGAGAAAAATGGCAAAAATTTAAGGAAAAAAACTGCCCACTCCACACACATACTGAGATTTGTCTTTTAGGCAGAAGTTATAAGGTTTTCTCTACTCCCCTTGAGATGGGGTGCTGAAACTCCAAAAGACATTTACCTTGTGATATCTGAATCAGGAGAGCAGCTTGCTCGTGTCCACACATGATCAGTATCATTCTTGAGCTTCCACGCTGGATTCCGTTTCTCACCGGGGAGAAAAGTAAACTTCTCCTTATCTGGCCTGTGAAATGGGAACCCGAGGTGGGGGAATGCCCTCACCTGTTGTGAAAGGGGATGAGTAAGTTCTCTTTTTTACTGCTTAATGCTTCTAAGAGAAAGAGGCATACATTTATTCCCTCTGGGTTGTCCTTCTTAAGTTACCCTGGAACAAAAGTCAGTTTGAATTTCTCTTCTGGTGAATCACAGAGATAAAACGAAAACAGTGAAAGCAGTTCAAAACGTCAACAGTATGCTTCCCCCTTAGCTGTAGACCTGTGATGAGATATCATAATTGCTATCGGTATCATTGATGTTTTGCATTCCTATACCATTGTAGAATTGTCATTGTACATTCTATACACACGATCCTACTTGATCCTTTACAGCAAGGGAAATAAAAAAGTCAGTGTTATTAACATCATTTTAAAGATGATGACACTGAGGCTGAGAGAAAGGAAATTTGTCTAAATTCCCATGGTTAACAAGTGGCAGTTCAAAGAGAAGGATTCATGTATTGGGCTAAGAATACCTTGCTCTTGTTATTCCACCGCTGATTTACCAGAAGATACCCCTTTGCCCCTTGGATAATTTGCCCCCTGAAGACAATAGATCATTTCCGTGATTGGCCCTCAAGTAGGCAATGGCTAAAAATAATATCGTAAACCAAGTTCTATACTTTCGATATTGGGAGAACAGGACAAGGACACACATGGGTAATGTCAAGACCCAAGTTCACACAAAGCATATTTCAAGAGAATTAGTCACTGTCTCAAAGTGTTGCCTGCGTTAGAAAAATTACTGTCTCTAGTTCAAGACCCAAGTTCACACAAAGCATATTTCAAGAGAATTAGTCACTGTCTCAAAGTGTTGCCTGCGTTAGAAAAATTATTGTCTCTAGTTTTTAGACTCCACCATCTTCAATGTAGGAGTTTTACTCCAGGATAACTCTCCTCATGGTCACAAGATGGCTGCCCAAACAGCTCCAGGATTCCTACGGGGATGAAACAAGTTGTGGCAAGAAAGAGACAATCTATTCCTGAGTTTAAGAGTGAAGTAGAATTTTCTTCTGGAAAAATTGTAAGAAGTCCCCCAGCCAGTCACACTATTTTCATCGGCCACAGCTAGGCCTTATGCCCACCCTTAAAATAATTTACTAGCAAGAGGAATTACTCAGTTGGCTGAAACACATCAAACTAACCCTTTGGCTGGAGAGAGGGTCCTCTTCACTGAATGGAGATAGGAAGATATCTGGGGGGGGAAATGGCATTTTATTGAAAAGAAAAGGGCAGGCATGGTGGCTTACACCCATAATCCCAGCACTTTGGGAGGCTGAGGCAGGCAGATCATGAGGTCAGGAGTTCGAGACCAGCCTGGCCAATATGGTGACACCCTGTCTCTACCAAAAATGCAAACATTAGCCGGGTGTGGTGGTGGGTGCTTGTAGTCCCAGCTACTCAGGAGGCTGAGGCAGAAGAATCACTTGAACGCAGGAGGTGGAGGTTGCAGTCAGCCAAGCTCACGCCACTGCACTCCAGCCTGGGCAACAGAGCCAGACTCTGTCTCAAAAAAAAAAGAAAAAGGAAAATGACACACACACACACAGACACACACACACACACACACACACACACACACACACACACACACACAACCTCTCTTTCTCTCTGTGCGAAGGGAGAATGCAATGTTGTCTACCACATAAGTTTCTACAACCTACCAAGAAATTTCCATTTTCTAAATTTCCTTCTTTTGAGGATCCTTCGAGCACTTCTTTCACACTTCGTACCTTCCAGTTAGTGCTGTTTTTTTTTTGCTTCTTTCCTAAGCTGCATTCTCTCCTAGTTTTGTTGTTGGTACAGAACTGTCTGTCCGATTGCCTCTTCTCTGAGGCTGCCAAGCCATGGGATTGGGCAAGTTTCTAAGCTTGGCCCTTTAGAATTGGATTTTTAGAAAATCATACTTAAAAACAGAGATGAGAAATCTTAAAGTGTGTGGTCTCAAGGTTTCATCAATGGCTGTGACACTACTAGCCAGTCCAATAATGAATCAAGCCAAGAGACAATATCAATATACAGTGTATTTAAAATGTTCACTCAGTTGGTGAATCATTATTGATAACACATTTTAAAGCCATTTTTTACTGAGTGTTTACCAGGTGCCAGGTGTTGTGCTAAGTGCTCTGCATGCATGACTTACATCACTGTCACATTTCCCTCAGAGGAAGGTAATATTTTCCTCATTCTTCCTTGACATATGAAGAAACTGAGCCTCAGAGAAGTGAAGAGACTTACCTTCTCAAGGTCTCACAGCTAAAAGTGGCGGAACAGGTCCTTGAACCCATGCTTCCCTGCCTCCACAATCCACACTCTTAATCACTATTTTATGTTTTCTTCCAGATGTTCAGAAGCCTAGTGAATGAGTCAATGCAATGATTAATCAGCTTCCATGTTCAGAATTACTGATAGCTCTGGCCTTCCTAATAGCTCAGTGAGTGTGAACGTTATGATATTCTACCCTCACAGAGTTCCTGAGTACTGAGAGTGGGCTGGCCTACAACTTTTAATAAAACAAGAGTCTTCAGATTCCTAGCCAGTGCGCTCACCTGTAGATCATGAAATGCCTTACTCAGGACATGAACCACTCTTCCATCAAGTTCCGGGGTTCTTACCATCATCATCTCAGAACCTCTTCATACCTCCCTGGTAAATATTAGGTAACGATGTTAACCTTGATAGGAAGAAGCAAACCTGGTGGGTCACGGTGGCTCATGCCTGTAATCCCAGCACTTTGGGAGGCTGAGGCAGGCATATTGCTTGAGTCCAGGAGTTCAAGACCAGCCTGGGCAACATGGTGAAACCCTGTCTCAACAACAACAACAAAAAAATTGCCTGGCATGGTGGTACATGCCTGCAGGCCCAGCTACTTGGGAGACTGAGGTGGGAGGATCCCTTGAACCCAGGAGGCAGAGGTTGCAGTGAGCCAAGATCGCACCACTATACTCCAGCCTGGGTGACAGAGTGAGATCCTGTCTCAAAACAAAGAAAGAAGCAAACTTGATAAGGGAGAAGTGTGGTGGTTTTTTCATGCCAACAATATAAGTTAGAGGTAATGAATAGGTACCATAGCCATAAAAGGTATCCAAATGCCCCCTCCAAACCCTGGTTATAGAAGCCTTTCTTATAATTCCTGCTTGCTTGGAGAAGAGATCAGTAAAGTATCTGGTTATGCTCTGTCCACAGGACAAGATTGCTGATGCCACATCTTTTCCCCAATCATTCAAAAGAGCATCTTTGTCAGCCTGTCAGCCCTACTGAATCAAAGTGATGCTGGGGAAAGGACAGAGCAAAGTCAGGAGAGAAAAACCATATATAACAACTGCTCTGAACACGACCTGTAGTCCAATAACAAATGTCCTAATTTCAGAGTGCTAAGGAAACAGTGTCCTCACTGGTGGGTGAAGTTCCGCTTCTCTGCAGGAGGAGGACCCAGCCCCCCTCTCCAACCCTGTTCCATTCTTCCACTCCTCCTTCCCTCTGTTGGCTCTAGCTATGTTGACTTCCTTCAATTCCTGGAATATTCCTGGCTCTCTCCCGGTTCTCACCAGGGCAATGCACATGGCATTTCCTCTGTCTGAGATGTCCTTCCCTACTCTCTTCTAGGCATTTTCTACTCTTTCCTTTTTCCTTTTCTATCCTGAATTCCTAGAAAAGTACCCAGGGTATAGAAGATGCTCTGCAGAAAGGAGGATACTTTTCCTTTCTAAATATCTACTAGATACTTTCCAAAGGGTTAATCAGCTTTAACATGGGGTGATGCCACTGTGCTGGTCTAAAATGTGTGATTTGCAGATGGAGGTTGGTGGGATCAACCACAAAGTCTGTCATCAAATGAAACACAAATGTGTTCACCTCTGGTCACTGGTTCAGGTTCTGGGCAGTCTGTCCCTTTGGCTGGAGGTAGAAGAACACTTTGGTAACTGTTGTGAGTGTGGTGGTGCAAGCTGAATAAGTTGATGTCCCCTTGGACTTCTATTTGAGATTTCTCCTCTGGTATTTTTATGGTACAGGTTTTGGGCAGTTGAATGAGAGTATGTAGGGACTGATCTTAGAAAACCAATGTAAGTCCAGGCATAGTGGCTCACACTTGTAATTCCAGCAGTTTGGGAGGCTGAGGCGAGTGGATCACTCAAGGTCAGGAGCTCGAGACCAGCCTGGCCAACATGATGAAACCCTGTCTCTACTAAAAATACAAAAATTATCTGGGCATGGTGACAGGCGCCTGTAGTCCCAGCTGCTTAGGAGGCTGAGGCAGGAGAATTGCTTGAACCCGGGAGGTGGAGGTTGCAGTGAGCCAAGATCGCACCACTGCACTCCAGCCTCGGTGACAGAGCAACACTCCATCTCAAAAAAAAAAAAAAAGAAAAAAAAGAAAGAAAACCAACATAAATCAGACTGTTACCTTCTATCCCTTTTCCCTGTCTAATAGGAGGAGAATGCCCCCTCTTATAACCCATTTGCTATACCTCTGCCAGCAATCTTTCACACATGCAGCAGCTGAATTGTCACTTCTTCAAAGACATCTCCTTGACCATAAATCTGAAGGAACCATCCAGCATTATATTCTTCTGAATGCTGATCTCCAAGTGATCTTTCCCTTCCATTGTTTATTACCTGTTTCTCCCAAATAGAACATAAATTTTTTGAGAACTGGAACCTGACCTGTTATACCAGTTAAGATGAGCTTCCTCTGCTGGTCATGGAAAATCTAAACTAACAGTGACTTAAGATTAAAACTTCTTTCTTTCTTTCATCCAGAGGTAAGCAGTCCAGGGCTGGTAAGGTGGCTCCAAGATCTCTAAAGGGCTCAGGCTCTCTCTCTCTTTTTTATTCTCTTTCCTACAAGGCTTTTATCTCCAGGCCCAGTCATGGCATCTCTTTTCCAACCAGGAGGAAGGAAGACTAGGTAAAAAGAGGCAAGGCCCTCTGTCCTTTAAATATTATTCTGCTTACATCTTATTAGCTTAACCTAGTCACATGGTCATGCCTTCTGCAAGGGAGGCTGGGAAATGTGGCTTATATTTCTGCACAGGCCCAGACAAAAAGCAGGGGTTTTATTATTGCAGAAGTAGGGGAAAACTGATACCAGAAAGCAGTTAATCTCAGAAACTTATGTTGTATTTGCTGCTCTATACCCACTACCTGATCAATCTTTGACATAAAGGTCCCCAAAATATCTGTTAAATGAAAATGAGTGAATGAATGCCATTCTTTGGCTTATATTCTCTAACCACTCCTAATGTTTGTAGAATTAAGATCCAAATCTTTAATGCAAACTACAAAGCCCTGCGTGATGTGAATCTTGCCCCCCTCTCCAGCCCTGTTCCATTCTTCCACTCCTCCTTCCCTCTCTTGGCTCTAGCTATGTTGACTTCCTTCAATTCCTGGAATATTCCTGGCTCTCTCCCAGTTCTCACCAGGGCAACGCACATGGCATTTCCTCTGTCTGAGATGTCCTTCCCTACTCTCTTCTAGGCATTTTCTACTCTTTCCTTTTTCCTTTTCTATCCTGAATTCCTAGAAAAGTACCCAGGGTATAGAAGATGCTCAATAATTACCTCTTGACTGACTTAACCTCAACACGTACTTCCTCAGGGAGGGTTTCCTAACTCTGTAGACCGAGTTGAGTTCCATATCGTATAACCCCATAGCATCCTGGACTTTTCCTTTGTGAGACTCTGTACTCTTAAGATTATTTACTTAGTTATTTAGAATTATTTTTGCAGGATGTCAGCCATCCTCACTAGATGAAGATTATGGAGGGGAAGGATTATGTAACTGCCATTCTCTGCTAAATCCCCAGAGCCTAGCAAAGTATATGGCACACAGTAGGTGCTTCATAAGTACCTGTTGTCTATGAACGAATGTCTACCTTGTGTAAAACTGCTATATGACATCTTGGTGAGTTGATTCAAACAAGCATTCCTTGTTTTCATGGAGTTTATAAGAGAGACACATGACCATAAATATACATTCAGGAAAATTCTGTACAATTACATTTAATTGAATTAAACAGGCATTTCATGAGTACCTGCTTTGTGCCAAATAATTAAAAGTATTGACCCTCAGGGAGTTTACAGTGTAATGAGGAGTATAAATTGCTAATCACCCTGCAATAACTGTTTCCCATTTTTCTCTTTAATAGAATCTCCACCACCAACTCAAGTATTAGTGAAGAACACGGCTGCCTTGCTGAGGTCTAGTGTTTCCAACCTCCCTTTTAATCAGGTATAAATATGTGACCAAATCTGGCCAATAGGATGTGAGCAGAGATGATACCTGCAACTTCTAGATCATGATCTTGTGAAGGAAGCTGCTTGCACTCCCCCCATTATCCTTTCCTCCCTTCCCAGTGGCTGGGATATGACAGTAACTCTAGCCATTTTCTTGTGCCCAGAGATGGAAGCCACACATTTAGGATGGCACAACTACTCTGGACTATTCATCCTTGGACTGTTCTATGAGGGAGAAACAAAACTTCCATCTTATTTAAGCCACTATATTTTGGGGTCTCTGTTATTGTAACCTAACTTATATCCAAATAGAGGGGGTAGCCAGGTATAATGGCTTACACCTGTAATCACAGTGCTTTGGGAGGCTGAGGCAGGAGGATGGCTTGAGGCCAGAAGTTTGAGATCAGCCTGGGTAACACAGCGAGACTTTGTCTCTACAAAAAATAAAAACAACAAAATATTAGGGCGTGGTAACACATGCCTGTAGTCCTAGTAATTCAGGAGGCTGAAGTGAGAGGATCACTTGACCCCAGGAGTTTGAGGCTGCAGTGAGCTATGACTGTGCTGCCGCACTCCAGGTTGGGCAACAGAGAGAGACCCTGCCACTGAGAAAAACAAAAACAAAAAAATAAATAGAGGAGGCAAGCAAACACAATAGAGTACTTTAAGTACAGTAACAATGGAATTGTAGAGGTAGAGCCTAATCTTACCAAGACAGTGGTGTTTAAAGATGAAAATTGGGCACAATCTAAATTTCCTCTAGGTCACCCAGAAAGCACAGTGATAGTCAATATTTCTCATGGCCCTTAAATGATTCTTCCATTTATTCCTGCAGAAGGTTGAGGAAGTCATAACTGCCTCCTAAGCAAGGTATCTGATGTTTCTGTGTTGGCAAACCCCCTGGTATTATTCACTCATTCTTCCTCTGTGTTTTACCTTCCCACCTGGCTAAATTTCATTCACTGCCTGTTTATGGGCAAAGCATTAGGGGTCTCAACTGAGTATGCCTGAAGTCAGTTAAGACAGATGGGCATATAATGGTCCTCCCGCAGAAGTGGCCTAGAAGACTGAGTGCTTCACTCTGTGTGTGAAGAGTGGGACATGGAAAGCTTCAAAAAAAGGAGCGTTGCAGGATTTCACATGAAAAGGGAAAATGAGTTGTTGATATCTATAACACAGCATGAGATTGAAGATTTTTAGCTTGCTGGATTTACTAAGGCTCCTATGTGATCCCATCCTGGATGACCTTGTATATGCCATCACTCATGGGATCCTTTTCAGAAGTCACGATAAATTTCAGTAAACAAGGTTATGGGAGCACTGGCACTAAAAGGTTCCATGTATTTATGATGTGTAACATGCTGTGACATGGGTGTTGTCAAAAGCACTGGACAGGAATATTGCATATTGCCTATAATAACCACTTACAAGAAAAACCTTTATAAATTTCTGGATTGTCAAGCAAGTAGACTTTATTGCAAATAACAAATTCATTTCTGTAATAACAATTTTGTTAAACCCTCATGGAAATTGAATTATAATGTAGATAATTATGAGAGAATGAGCTGTTTGGAAAAACTTAGCACATCCCTGTCTTTGAAGGAAACAAAACATCACCTAACTGATCGATGTTTTAACTTCTCACTTTAGCACATCCACTTGCTTATAATGAGGGTTACTGCCAGTAAATTCACGCCCTGCTTCAAATCTGCTCTGGTGCATGTTTCATCTTAAAATAGAACCCCACAGTCTATAAATCCTTATACTTTTTTCTTGATAACTCTTAAAGTTGTGGTCAGAATTAAGTAAGTCAGTAATGTGAACTACCTGTATCAATAATCCAGTTAGGAAAGATCATTTATCCTCCCTGTAGATTATCTGCAAAAATGGCCTCCCACAATTCCATTCATCTTTAACACACATGCCATCTTTCCCACCAAGAGGTGTAGTCTATTTCTCCAGCCCTTAAGCCTAGGCTGGACTCATGACTCTCTTTGATCAATAAAATGGAGCAGAAGGGATGTTATGTGACATATATTAATATTTCTGGGCCTATACCTTAAGAGACGTGGCAGGTTCTGCATTTGGCCTCCTGGGATCCTGCCTTCATGTCAAGAAGCTTGGGCTAGATTATTGAATGATTAAAGAACATATGGAGAGACAGAGAGGGTCAGCGAGGCCCTAGCAGTTCCATCTATGCCAGCCGAAGCCCCAGGCATGTGAGCAAAGCCATCTTGCATCCTCCAGCTCTAGTCAAGCTCTCCCCACTCCTCTTTTCCACCCCCAGATCACCTCCACTGCCAACAGCACATGGGGGCAGAGATGAGCCTCCCATGCCAAGCCACCCATCCCAAGCCCTGGTCAACTTGCAGAATTGTGAACAACTAAGTGGTGGTTTTTTTTTTTGAGATGGAGTTTTGCTCTGTCACCCAGGCAGGAATGCAGTGGTGCAGTCTCAGCTCACTGCAACCTCCACCTCCCAGGTTCAAGTGATTCTCCTGCCTCAGTCTCCTGAGTAGCTGGGATCACAGGCGCCCTCCACCACACCCGGCTAACTTTTTTTTCTTTTTTGTATTTTTAGTAGAGATGGGGTTTCACTGTGTTAGCCAGGATGGTCTCGATCTCCTGACCTCATGATCTGCCTGCCTTGGCCTCCCAAAATGCTGGGATTACAGGTGTGAGCTACCGTGCCTGGCCAAGTGATTGTAATTTTTTTAAGCCTCTCAGTTGTGGGGCGGTTTGTTATATAGCCATGGGTAACTAAAAAAGATGAAGAAACTGAATCACAAAAAGCCACTGGCTTAGCTAGCCAAGTAGCCAAGTTAGGATTTGAACCCAGGCAACCCAGCAGCAGAAACCACACCTTTAACCACCATTATATGTTGACTGCTTAGATATAAACAAAGAACAGCACAGAATGAGAAGGCAGATCAAAACCACAGTCTAAATGGTGGGTACAAATAAAGCAAGGGAAAAGAACAGTAAACAAAACAAAAAAAGATCAGTACAGAGATCTGAGGTAATGGTGTCAAGAAAAGTGCACAGGAACCATCTTGATTTCCAACATGTATTTTTGCCCTTTAACTGCTGCCTAAGTCAGGATACATGCCTACCTTGATCTTCATGAGCATATTCTGTCTTTTATGTGTCTCTTAGGAAAGGCAGCAGTTCAGAGTTTGAACTCTGCATGATGGGGCTTAAGATTTGAGATACCTAATACCTAGCTGGCATTAGGTATCGCAAATCTTAAGCCACCTTATCTTAGCTGGGTGCTCTCTTCACATCACTTAACGTCTCTGAACCTCAGTCCATCCATCTGTAAAGTGGACACAATACTTTGATCTAACTTCTAAATTGTTGTAAGGATTAAATCTAATGATATACTCATGGTTTAATCTCAATAAATGGAAACTATTACTTTGATGAAAACTGTCTGGCCCAGAGACCTTCCTCCTTACATTTTTGGCATTATATTTTGACTTGGTTTCACATCTTCTACATTGTATCTCTAAATCCATGTGCCATGACAATCACCAGATATTTGCCATCCTCCAACACTGCTGTAGGCTAATCCTGAGGCACAGACTGCTAAACTGCCATACCTGTTTGGCCTACAGGTTCAGGAGACTCTATTTTAAGCCCCTGACTGATGGCCAAATATGAAACCCCCTTTCCAACCCAGGAATCTCATTTTGCATTTCTTGCCATGTTAAACAGTAAATAAATTACCTCCTGATCAAGCCAAAAGCACTTTCAAAAGGTCCTTCCCTTTTCTTTCTTCTCTTCACATCAATCTTTGTTGCTAGCCAGGTCATTTTTTTAATGACATCTAAGCTCTCTGCTCCCATGGGCATCTGATAGTCTGCTTTCTCTTAGCCTGTTATGCCCCAGTCCTCCCTCTCTTTTCCCATTATCTTAAATTCCCAGACTACTAGAGTGATACCAACAAGCTGATAACTCACTTGCCTGCCAGACCCCTGCCAAGCACTCATTAATTCAGTTGGGTCGAGTGTAACGTGCCTTCCCCCCAATGCAATTCCATTCCCTCAATTTTCATTTTCCAGGCAAGGTGCCTGCATCGTGGAATGGCCATGATGAATTAGTTTTTACCTTAATTTATTCCAGTATGCATAAAGAAAGCATGAGGATTCCAATTTCCTTGATTAATGTACCATTCCACTCCACAAGAGCCTTCATTTTTAGCTCCTAATCACTCTCAGAAACGTGTGATATTGTTAGCTACCACATTCAACCTAGGAATGCTATTATTTCCCCAGGTTCCCTCAAACTCAACTTGGAGCCTCACCTTCTAAGCTGGGATGTCTTGAAAACCATCCTTCACCTTAAGTTCCACGATAAATTTAGCATCTTTGCCCCCTTCTTGGGATATCATGAAAAACATACATTTAGAAGAAATATAGAACACACTTTAAGAGAATCTGGCCCTATCCAGTGAAAAATACCTCACTTTTACAGCAGGGAGAAACAATTCCTACAGCATAAAGAATCAGTGGCTTCTACCAAAATAATGGTAGCACTTCCAGAGGGTTTCCATAGAAATAGAAAGGATATTTTACTCAGAAAAGGGGAATAAAGGCCAATGACATGTTTTCACTCTCTGAAAACGTGAAAAACAGCAGATGAAAAGACAAATCAAAGGTCTCCTCTCCAACCTCTCTTTCTTAAATAGATGAGAGAGATGGAGGCCCACATTGAGCTAACCCAACCCTGACAGCTACTGGAGAGTAACAGGGAGATTAGATGAAAGTGTCAGGAAAAAAAATACAAAGGTGATATTTTTGTTTCAAAGCCCATTTTCCATATTTTTATCACAAAGTATATACAAATTATAGGGTAGGTCAGGAGACTGGGAAAGGCTTTCTTTGTTCACTAAATATCAGAGTCTGTCAAAAATGTGAGCTCCTTCCTTTCTTAGGGATCTGGCACATTGAAAGTAGAAGGAGCAAAAAGGGAGAGCCGGATAGGGACAGGAACCTGGTGATAAATGGGCTGCACCATCAGTCTAGTTGAAGTCAACCCTTTTTTTAAAGCAGATTAATACTTGAGATGCTCCCCTCATGAGAATGCTCATGTCTGCCTCTATCCCTTTCTCCTGGCCTGGCCACATGCAATCACCTCCCTTCACACATGACACTTGATGCTTTGGGAACATCGTTCATATTAGTCCTCTTTTTTGATTCGCCACATGCCCCTTGAAATCCTATTTGACCTACATAGCCAGCTCAAATACATTCAATATCACCACAAAAACTTCCTGGTGTATTTAGCTGCAATTTATTGCTCCTTCATTGGAATGCCATCATCCTCCTCATCATTGAAGCTATCATTTATTGAATGCGGCTGTTTTTTCCCCCTTGTGTTCTATTATTCAGCAGACATTTAGAGGGTATTAATCATGTGCTGATTACTACCTGTTTGTTTGTGGAGAGGGAGGAAGGGGTGAGGGATAAGGAGAAATAAAACTTCTGCTCTCAAGGAAACATCTCTCAGAATGTCATCATCATCGTCAAATATTGAATTGTGACAGTTACGCCATGGCTGATTCATTTCCTACTCGTGTGTGCTCTCGCACATGGTCTTGCCCTCTTGCCATCAGGTAAGGCCATGTGACTAGTTCTGACCAGTGGGCTGTGAGTGGCTGTGACATCTGTCCCTTGCTATCTGAAGCACTTAAGAGATGGGGGGCGAATAATGATCCCCCTTCTCCCAAGCTCTCTCTTGCTTTCCTTAAAGCACTGCAGTAAAGTGGCTTTAATGCATGTCACAAGTTTGAGGTGACCTAGATCACTGGTAAGTCAGTGAATGGGTAGTAGTTGCCCTGGGGAGTCACCTGGCTCACAGCAGATTTTGTGTTGATGAGAAATAAACTTTTGTGGTATTGAGCACCTGTATTTTGGGAAGATTTGTTAGTGCAGCATGGCCTATCCAAACCAATACGTATCTCAAAGACAGGTTCCCCTACTATCCACATCTCTAAATGAGAAAACTCACACATGGAGTGTAAAGCCGTTTGTACAGGTAGAAACAGAAGGATTCTCCTGTTTCCATTATCAACTCTGCCCTCCTGAATGGATTGATGTCTTTATCACTCAGGTGGGTTAACTGTCTCAGGATTGGGCTCCTGATAAAAGAATCAACCTGATTTTCTTTCTCTGTCTGGTGTGCTGATTTGTCCTTCCATCTTCCACCATGAGATGACCCAGATGCCAGCACTGTGCTCTTGGACTTCCCAGCATCCAGAACTGTGAGCCAAATAAAGTTCTATTATTTATAAATTACTCAGTCTGTGGTATTCTGTCATGGCAGCAGAAAATGAACAAAGACAACCTGTAAACAAACTAATTAGTAAAAGAAAAATTATTGTCATTAATATGGAGACTGAAGTTACTATGGAGCTAATAGCAGCCTACTGATACATTCATTCATTCTTTTTACATTCATTCATTCTTTTTACATATATTATTAAGTGTTCATCACATGCTGAGCACTGGTAGCCACAGTAGGTTTGGCAGTGAAAACACAGGCATAATCTCTACATTCAAGAAACTTATAGTCTAGTGGAGAAAAAAGAAGGTCATCAGATAATGATATGAATGAGCATATAATTGAAGAGATGGAGTCTTGCTCTGTTGCCCAGGCTGGAGTGCAGTGGCATGCTCTTGGCTCACTGCAACCTCCACCTCCTGGGTTCAAGCGATTCTTCTGCCTCAGCCTCCCGAGTAGCTAGGATTACAGGTGCACACCACCACGCCCGGCTAACTTTTGTATTTGTAGTAGCGACGGGGTGTCACCATATTGGCCAGGCTGATCTCGAACCCCTGACCTCGTGATCCGTCTGCCTCAGCCCCCCAAAGTGCTGAGATTATAGGCGTGAGCCACCGCACCCGGCCACTTAACTTTTAGGAAGTTCACTTAGAGGACGGGAGAGTACCCTTTGCCACTCCTTGCTCTTTACTGCTGGTTAGAATGTAGATGTAAAGGCTGGAGGTAAGCCGCCATCCTAGACCATGACATATATGGGAAAGAAAAACACATGTGACAAGATAAGTAAGATAGAAGAAATCTTGTTCTCTTATGCCATAGACCATGCCATCCCTGGGTCGACTGCCTCTAGCTTCTTAAATGTATGAAAGAAATTCACTTCTATCTTCTTTAACCCTCTGCTATTTGGGGATTTTTCTGTTATTCCCATGGAAATGTAATCTAATCCAGTGCTGAATATTAAACACTCATTAAGCTCCTCTGTGAAGTTATTGTACATTTTTAGAAAATTGGCATATTCATAATTGGAAGATAAATTTTCCCTTCAGAATTCTAAGAAGGAGCAAAGCTAGTATATACCATAAGCAATTTTTTTAATTGTAATTTTGAAGTTCTGGGGTACATGTGCAGGATATGCAGGTTTGTTACACAGGTAAATGGGTGCCATGGTGGTTTGCTGCACCTATCAATGCACCACCTAGGTATTGAGCCCAGCATGCATTAGCTGTTTTTCCTAATGCTCTCCCTCCCTCCACCCCAACTGCCAACAGGCCCCAGTGTGTGTTGTTCCCCTCCCTGTGTCTGTGTGTTCTCACTACTCAGCTCCCATTTATGAGTTCAACCATTGTGGAAGACAGTGTAGCAATTCCTCTGAGATCTAGAACCAGAAATACCATTTGACCCAGCAATCCCATTACTGGGTGTATATACCCAAAGGAACATAAATCATTCTATTACAGAGATGCATGTATGCATATGTTCACTGCAGCACTATTGACAATAGCAAACTATTTAGAAGAACAGCTGCATCATGAGTTGAGATGTCCACTTAAAAGAGAATCACTTACAAAACACATTCCTCAAATCACTGCATACTACTAAACAAAGCAGTTTCTTGAAAAGCCAACTTATAATAATAGAAGCAAGTAATCACCTTCCAACAACCTGAGCAAGTCTGCTCACAGCATGATAGCTAGCTATTGTTTACAATGGTGGCATCTTCTTTTGTTTCTGTCTTCCTAATACCAGATAAATTTTATAAAAGTCAGGATTCCATCTCTGTGTATAATTTGGGACACAGCTAATCTGGAGACAAGAATGGATGCAGTCCTAATTTCATCTTTACTTGCCTGATTACCTCCTGTGTTTTCCTATTTGATAAACCTCACACAGGAAAAAGAACAGCACAAGACCTGAGTCAATAAGCCCAGGAGCCCTACTGGAAGACTACGGCACAGAGGACAGAAGGAAGGACACACACTGCCACTCATTGCAAGACCACGGAGTAAGAGATATTTAGAAGAATTACTGCCAGACTTTCTCGATATCAGTGGTAGGGTGTATTTGAGCTTTCAAGCCTGTGGACACTGGGAAGGTGAGCAGCTTTGATCCACATCTAACTCCCTAACTTCTGAGGAGGTACCCGTGTTAAGCTGCTCATCTGAGGTTAAACTTTACTTCCATGCTTCCAAAGCAAACCTAAGTCTGAGAAAGGTGAAAATGAGTGTGGGCTAAACAAATAAGCAAAACCTTTTAAAGGCCTCACTGGTCTTTGGCTTAATTCTGCATCCCTCAAGAGAAAGTTAGGAAGGGCAGAAAAGAGCCAAGGGAACACAGAATCTAATTCTGCTTTGGCAACAGAGGAAACGATTGGGACTCCGAGAAGAGGTGAGTCCACCTCGTCCACATAGCTGGTGACTGCAGAGCTGGACCCAGAAAGGGGCATTCAGCTGCTCAGCCTCCTCTCCAGCATCATGCTACATGGGGGTGCCACCACCCCTGCCACTTCCTTCCTACCGGTAGTACCCATCATAAAATACCAGCATATCCTTGGGAGTCTTAAAAACAATGGGTATACGATGTCATGCTGAATTCTGCCACCACCTTCCCATCTTCTCCTGAACTTTCAAGAAGGGCTGTGCCCTGAGACCTGCTGTGGGGACAAGAGATATGGGAGAAAGAGCCATAGGCATTACTGGCAGGCTCAGCCTGTGGAGGAAATGGCTTTGTGCTGGCCGCAGCCTCCATTCATCACTCACTTAGCAAGGCCTGCCAGAAAAAGAGGCAAGACCAGTCTACTGCCGTTGTTATCCCCATTTCACAGATGGGAAAACCAAGGAATGGAGGGACTAAAACACCCTCATGATTCAAATCCAGCCCTCCTGATTTCCAATGTGGTACTCTTTCCATTATACTACTCTTCTTCCAGAAAATCTCAATGTAAAATTACCCAAGATTTCTGCATTCTCAGAATGCAAGAAAGTTCCATTCCTAACAGAAAAAAACAGGCTCCTATTGTGGGTTGAATTGCATACGCCACTCCCCCAAAAAGGACATCCTAACCCTCATGTAATGGGATTGGTGCCCTTATAAAAGAGGCTTGAGGGAGTCTGTTTGTCCCTTCCAACAGGTGAGGACACAACAAGGCGCCATCTTGAAAGGAAAATGCAAACCTTCACCACACACTGAACCTGCTGGCGCCTTGATCTTGGACCTCCCGGGCTCCAGAACTATGAGAATAAATTCCTATTGTTTATAAATGACCTAGCTGGTGGTAATTTGTGATGCCAGCCCAAACAGACTGAGGCACTGGTAGAGAGATAAAAGCACCCATATGGGGTCTCTTGGCCTCAGGCTGTAACTCCAACTCCCTGTGTAACCTTGGGCAAGTTACTTCCTTTCTCTTTGTCTCCATTTTAACAACAATGAAGTAGTAGCTCCCTTGTAGTCTGAAATGAAGATTACATGAAATAGTGCATATTAAAACATGTAGCACAGATAGCACATAATAAGGACTCAAAAATTTTATAACTATTACTAATTTTTCAGGGCAAAGTTAAACACAAGAGAGAAAAAGGGAAAAGTTTACAAACTTAATAGAAGCCTCAATAATCAACTTTTTCCTGTTCCTGATTATACCTAGTCCAATAAGATAGCTATTAGATACATGTGAGTATTTAAATTCAAATTAATGAAATAAAATGAAATAAAAACTTTTCAGGCACACTAGCCAAATTTTAATAGCCACATGTGGCTACTAGCTATGAATAGAACATTTCCAGGATTGCAGAAAGTTCTATTGGATGGCAATGTTGCCACACTTGCTGCTTGAAGGCCTTAGGTAGAGACTTTCCAGACATGGGAGCCAAGATGCCAAGGGGATGTTATTTTCCTTTCAGCTTATAAAGGATTTCCAATGCTGCATCAGTAAGTAGACATCTTAAAAAATCCCTTTATCAGGAGTAAACATAAAAGTCAGTTCTTATCACAACTTCAAATAGAATGCATAACTACCAAGAATTTTTCATCTACAGTCAGAGATGCAATAAGCCACAAAATGGAGTGTGTATTAATCATGGCAATACCAGTGTATGAATAACTTCTTTAGTAATATCCACAAAAATGCAAAGGGCTTTGAGTTTTAGGAACAAGAATTGGTACAAACACATATAAACCAAGCCCCACATTTACTGTGAATAAAAAGAGACCATTCTGGTGTAACATATTGGCCACACAAACACATTTTTAAGTTTCAGAACCTGGGCTGAATTAAAAACCACATGGAAGATTATAGCTAAAATAGGGAAAAATACAATAGTAAGTGATAGAACAGAAATCAAAGTGACAATGTAGTTTACAAGTTTCCAGTTAGATGTCATCTAAAATGTTTTGTTCACTGTAATTGGCCTATCAAGAAGACATTATGCAAGGAACAGCTCAAGAAACAGCCCACGATGTCTCTCATTTTGATACAATTTCTGGAGGGGGAAAGAATATAATCAAGTCATTTCTGTTCCAATCAAAAGGGGGAAGTCATGGTTCAAGAAAAAGAAAATCAAAATAGAGAAATAAAGTTTATGTTCTACTAATCAGAGATGAGATTCAGAAGGATGACTTGACTTTTAGAAGAGAGTTCAAAAAACCCATTTAACTCCAGGCATAAGAGGGCAATAAACTCATGATGCTAATAAGCAGAATTGTAGATAAATGGAGTTTAGGTCCCCCTAAGCCTTTTATGGCAAGAGAAAGGCCTGACCAAGAAACAAGAGTGATAAGACATAGATGACATTGGAAGTAAACCCGAAAGGGTCAGCATGGACAGCCTTATCTTGCACAGCCCACCACTAAATGAGTTTCTAAGAACAGGCAGTGGAGATCAGCTGTGGGTATCTGTCACAGTCCTCCTATCAAGATTTCCTCTACTCCAGGAAATGATCACATCCCTTCCATCATTTGTACATCAACTAGACTCTCTAGATCATCTTCTTTCTGTCTCATAAATGTCTGTCTGGGAGGTGGGCGGGTCTGGAGAACAGGCCCCAGCAAATTTCTGACACCACCCTCTATAGAGTTCTCTCCCTAAAAAGGAAAAGAAGAACAAGAAAAAAGAATAATGAAAGAGAACCCTTCTTAAAGAGGAGGAGCTCTCTCATTACAAATCCACCATTGCCTCTCCGACAGCTCAAAGAGAAACTGCAGTGATTTCCACATCACAGAAACTCAACGTTAAGTCTCCACATTCCTTTCCTATTACACCTGCCTGCCACCTGCAGAGATGTACTCATCTCATTTCCTGAGAGGGTTTCTGCACATGGCAAGGTGGCCTCAAGTTAAAGGAATGATGCAGGTCAGGAGACACACAGTACAACTCTTTGAAATGTTTATGAAATCAGATCCTGAACTTGTCCTCCCACCATTATGTTGCATGACAGCTATCATACGCCTGCAATTTGCATTGCTGAGAAACAAACAAGAAACTACATGATTTGTTGCTGGACACCTCCCTGTCTATATAGAAAGGGTTTGTTTTTCCACCCGCATGAGAGGTTCCAGCCTGTTCCATCAGCTAGAAAACATATGCTTTAAGATGACATATGTGTATTGCAAGATAATGACCAAGATAATTACTAAATTCAATAATGTAGTTTAAGTTAATAAAAAGCTGAAGTATTAGAAAGTGACACCAAGGATATTAAAACTTGGTAGAAATTCTAAGAACATTGAATAGCCCAATAGCCAATCAGAGCAACAGAGGTTGCTGGTTTTAATGGCATATTAGTGATAAGGTCAGAAGTAGTCTAGCTTAAAAGAGATCCCAGTTTAAAACCATCCTGAGCCCTATCTCAGAACTTCAGAAGCCACCTCAGCAGGTTCTCAACCCCACCCCAATTCTATTCCTTCTATTTTGCCAAGGTCTCCACAGCCTGATGGCTTCCTGATCCCCAAAAGAGGATATCCAAATGAAAAGACCAGGGGATTATGTTTAACTATTCTCAGCCCCTATCTGCCTACATGTTGTAAAAAGCAGTACATACATCTGTTCAGCTATTATCCACATGAAGGACACAATCCGTGGATAGATTCAAGGAAAAGAACAATTCACTAGCAATACTAACAAACTAATCCAAGTAACAGCAAAAATCACTGTGTGCTTCCTAGGTACTACCTGGCACTATTCTAATGCAATTTATGTATAGCTTAGCTTCTCCTTGTGACAACACTACAAAGTAGGCACTACTGTTATTAACTTCGTTTCACACATAAAGAAACAAAGGCATGGAGAGATTGAGTAATTTGCCTAAGTTCACATACCCAGGCAGAAAGTTTCCAGAGATTGTGTTCCTGACCACTAACTCTGCAGCTTGCTAAGGGACATAAATGTGACTGCATCTTTTTCTGAGGAATACCCTAAATACCTTAAATTTAAGAGTAGCCTACATACCCTAAATACAACTCAACAAAGTGCAAAGAGACTGACAGTAGCACAAGAGTGAGAACTTTAAATTCACACAAATATATATGTTTTAAAAGAAGGTTACCTTCAGACATTGGTAAAGAGAGGGTCACTACTATCTGATGGCTTGACACAGCACTTATACCTGTATATCCTTGCTCTGTGGTCAAGTTCAGTGGAAGGTATAGAACAGAAGTCACCAGTGAAAGCCCATTGGCAGGTCTTGAATACATGTTCTATTCTGCCCATATGGTATTTTAAAGTTTTTTAAAACTTTGCTGCCAAAATGTAAAAGTTGAAATTTTTCACATAAATATTCAGATTTTAGACTTTTCTAAAAGGAACAGGTTTGTCCACACTGCACACGTCCTCCCTTATGCAACACTTAGAGCTGAAATGTAGGTCTGTCCTTTAGATGGGGCATGTGCTGTAGTTTGTCATACTCACCACTACTCCCTATTGTCATATATATGACAGCTTCTCTTATGCATGTTTCCTACTAGGTTCCCATAAAGCATTGAAACATATGAGTCTGATTTAGAGGAAAGGAGAAGTCATAGAGAAAGGATTCTGAAAAGGCAAGATAAAGGGATTTTGGTTCTAGCTAGGAGACTGGTAACATCACCTCACTCCCCATATATTCATTCTTTAAATGGGAGGCCAGGCTAGATACTGTCTAAGGTTGCCTAAGTTTAAACTCAAATAGGGGATTGAAGCAGTACATGGAATGTCCCAGCAGTGAGAAGTGAGTCTGTCACTCTTGCAGAGGCCACCTAGGACAGGCTCTCCCTGTGCATTGCCTGACCAAGAGAACTGACTTGGCTCAGTTACACGGAACACCCTCCTTACTGCTAGGGATTGAGAGGCAGTTCACTATGTTGGTTCTCAGTGTTGTATTAATATTTAGGGTACTTCTCAGATAAGAGATAATAACCCTTCACGCTACAGTATTCTAAGCTTCTCAGTTTCATCATGGTATCCATAGATGAATAACTTTTTGCTTTTTATGCATGCATACATGCACAAATTTATTAATCCATTCAATAAATTAAATGAAGCTCTAGGCACTGTGCCAGTCACTATGATATAAATCTGCAGGTTGAAACAGCAGGTAAGTGGGGAACTAATGCGTACAATCCCAGATAGCTTTCAGTGTGGGCAGGTGCCATCCAATCTACTGGGTGCCTGGAGAGAACAAAAACAGAGAAAAGGCAAATGTGTCGATCTGTCTGCTGGCCAGGGATATAGTCCTCCTCTTCCGTCCCTGGATAACAACTTCAGGCTCCCCAGCCTTTGGACTCCAGGACTTACACCAGCAGCCCACTGGGTTCTCAGGCCTCTGGCCTTGGCTGAGAGTTACACCATCAGCTTCCCTAGTTCTAAGGCCTTTGGACTTAGACTGAGCCAATCTGCTACCATTCCAGGGTCTCCAGCTTGCAGATGACCTGTCATGGAATATCTCAGCCTCTATAATTGCATGAGCCAATTCACCTAATAAATCCACACTCATCTATGTATATTTCTTTCCCTACCTATCTCCCTGCCTCTCTACCTACTTATCTCCCTACCTGTCTACCTACTTATCTCCCTACCTCTCTACCTACTTATCTCCCTACCTCTCTACCTACTTATCTCCCTACCTCTCTACTTATATCCCCATCTCCCCATCTCTCTCTCTCTCTATATATATATATATAGTTATAGATATAGATATAGATATAGATATATATAGATATCTATATCTATATCTATATCTATATCTATAACTATCTATCTATATATATATATCCTATTGGCTCTGTCTTTCTGGGGAACCCTGACTAATACAGAGACATACCTCCCCAGTGCTCAGCCCCATTCCACACATAGAAAGTGCTCACCTCCATCCCGCTTCAAAGGGCCCCTTCAAATCTATAGTAGCTTGGTAACAATGCGGGAAGGTACACGTACCTTCCTCCATGTCCTCAGATGAGGGTAGAAAAAGGCCTTGTGGCTTGGGCCCACGTGTTGTTCGTGCGAGATAGTCATTGCTAAGAGTAATTAGAGAACCCTGGTGTGAAAATTGGATTGTCAATTGGGCGGAGCTCTTGCAGAGTTCATGCTTATTTTCTAAATTTGTATAAGTGTATTGATAAATTCTCGACCCAGTGCTTCTTCTCAGGGCACTTCACCAGGCACCTTCTAAGCAGAGCCTAGTCACCTCGAATCCCTTCTTCCCAGAGCGACAGGCTTTAGTTTCCTTTCTTTGTGCTTCTCTGCCACCTCTCCCAACACACACACACAGACTACCGTTCTACTATCCACCACCCCCTAATCCTGTTTTCTTTTTTGGCCTACTAGAAACCTTCAGTGCCTCATTTAAAACAGAATCCAAATGTGTCAAGCAAAAATTTGGTTGTCACTTCCTTGAGGACAGGGAAGACTTGATCTTTAAAATAGAATTCTTTCATTTCTACCTCTTGCCAGTGAGAGGAAGTATTTACTTGGCATATCAGGAAGGTACCTCATTCCCAGATGGGCTAAGTCAACTCCTCCAAAGCAGCAACAACAAAAGACCTTCCATATTAAAATAGGTTAATCTTTTACCTATGATTGCATTTGTACTATGTCACTTTACCCTCTGGTTAGCAGATTGAATTAGGAGAAGATGTTACTTTTTTAAAGTTCTTTACTTTGCGGCCCAGTGAAAACTTCAATAGAGACCAACAAAACTTCCTTTTAGATTGGCCTGAGTTCACAGGCCAAGAAACAAAGGGGTGTTACATTTTAAATGTTATGTCTCCCCAAAATATGTTAAAAGGGCTCTACTATCATGAATGGGATTAGTGTTCTTATAAAAGAAACTCCAGAGAGTCACCTTGCCCCTTCCACCACGTGAGGACACAGCAAGAAGGAACTATCTAGAAACCAGAAAGCCGGCATGAGACACCAAATCTGCAAGTGTCTTGATCTTGGACGTTCTAGTCTCCAGAACTATGAAAAATAAATTTCCATTGGTTATAAGCCACCCAGTTGATGGTATGTTGTTATAGCAACCTGAATGAAAAAAAGACAAGAGGTAAAGTGATACCTTTAATTCAGAAACATCTGAATCCCAGTTCAGATCTCAATATAGACGCTCGACAGTTGGGTGTCCTTGGGTAAGTTACTTAACTTCTAACAGGCTCCAATTTCTAGTGTAGAGATGAGAACGATAAAGTCTCCCTGTTCTGCATTGCCCTAGATGATACACCAGAGCTCGTGTATGGACAAGCACCCAGCACAGTGTCTGGCACAGAGAAGGGGGCACATAAATAATATTAATGCCTTAGCATGGAAGAGACAACAATTGAGAAGGAGAGAAGGCTCTCACATGCTGCACGAATTGTTTAACAGAACATCCAGAGCACAACCAACACTTCAACAGTTGGCACAAACTATGTTTAAAAATAATAAGGAAAATAAGACAAAAGAAATATACTGAACAATTCAGTGGTTAAACAACACTGATTCATTGAGCCAATCTACACAGAGTAACTGTATCAGATGAGGACTAAGCACTGGCAGTAATAATGGGGAAAACAATTCAACTAGTTTTTCTTATCATGGAGCTACAGAGGAGACATAGGTAAATAAACCAGTAACAATACCAACTTGTGGTAAATGCTCAGGAAAAGAGAAGATATTTTGAGAGCAAGTGTCTATCAGAGCCCCTGTTGGGAAAAAAAGTTTTCCCAGAGGTAGAGCCATCTCAGCTGAGATCTGCAACTCAAGGAGGAACCAGCAAGATGGAGAAGGTGGTAACAGGAGACACAGAGGTCTAGTGGTAAAAGCAAGTGAGCCCTTTCAGTGGACTAAAAGAAGTCAGAGAAGACATTAACTGCAAAAGGGGAATGGGCAAGGGTTATAACTATGCCGGGTCAGACCCAGGCAAGGAAATTTGCTCCCAAAGGCAGTGGAAAGCTATCAGGGAGACTTCAGCAGAAGACTGGCTTGTCTTTGGATAATGAGACTATGGATTTTTTTTTCTTAATTTCTGATTTTTAAAAATCTCTATAATGAGCAAGTACTATTTATATAATTTTTAAATTGTGTAAACCATTCATCTTAATAAGAAATAAATACAATACACTATTTATCAAATAGGTCCTTTTGGGAAAGAAGGTCACGGATTTAAATATCCTTAGAATTATCGAGAAAGCAAACCCACCATTTAAAAAGGGAAAAGGGCAACATAATGCCTTTGGCTCATTGTATCAATAGGGCCTGAGGATCTATAAGGAGGCTTAGCCCAGCTCATGTGCAGACCAGGCTCTGACTCCTTCAACATAACGTTCTCAGAGATTAGTATCTTGATGACGTCAGCGAAGCAAGCTGAAAGGAAGGTTAGAGACCTCTTCAGTGGTTTTCAAACATTTTTTAAAAAGGGACTTTTTTTTCTTTTTCAAGTGCAATCTTAAACATAAAATAGGTAAAAGATTACTTGCAGGTTGAACAGGGAGGGAAATGTGGTAAAGAGCCGGAATTGGGATGACTTGATCTCTATTTCCTAAGGTGAATTCCTCCCAGAAATGCGAGGGTGCCTCAGAAGAGTTTAAACTTTACCAACATAGGTTCAACATCAAAGAAACTGCAATCCACAGAGGGGAAGCCAGTGGCTGTGGCACTGGAAAGGATTTGCACAAGGTCACGGGTTAGTGCAGAGCAAGGATGAGAACTCATGTACCTGTCCTGCATTCATTCTGGCTTCCTCCACCCCCCAAAAATGGGCAAAAACGAAAACAAACAAACAAAAACACAACTGCCTAAAATTAGGGTATTCAAGTCAAAAAAATGGAATGACAGCCAGAGCAGGTCATGTCTTTGTGGAAACCCCCGCCTCACCTCCCAGGACCGTGTCACATCTACAGGAGGTCACACTCCAGTCAGCCTGCCAAGGATCTCCAAGGTAGTTCTGTATATTAGTTTGGATTCCAACTTCTAGAGCCAAAACAACAACGAAAGGAGGACTTATTGGCTCATATAATAGGGAAGGCTAAAGTCAGTTCCTCGAAATAACTCTCTCACCTTTCCTTGGCTCCTCTCTCCTCTGGATTTCTTAATTTTGATGGTGGGTTCTCTCCATTTGGTGCCAAAAGTGGCCACTTACAATTCTGAATAGAAAAGTTTCTTAAAATCTCAGTCTGAAGACAAGTGGAACTCTTGTCTGATAATTCCAGCAAAACTCCTCGGAAAGCTCTTGATGGGCCTAATTTAATACAGGTGCCCATCCCTGAACCAAATCACTGCAATCAGGGAAAATTGATCCTGAATTGGCTTGGCCTGAGTCTTGAACGCACCCCTGGACCCTCAAAATAGAATTATCCCCATCTAGGGCTTAGGGTAGTGAGGAGGGTGGGAGTGGGAAATGGGTGGTTCTCCAAGGAAAGGAGATGGGATGCTTGGCCAACAAATACTAGACATATCCTTGATATTTCAGGCCTATAATAGGTCATTTCCTAATTGGTGAAAGCGGGATTATTTGTGTAAAGGGCATCCTCAGAGATGCACATGACACTGCTTTTCTGCTGTGAATAGCCAGAAATTGCTTACAATCCTAATTGAATCAGACCCCAGCAAAACTCGATTGTGCCACTAGAGCTGAAGTGAAATGAAATCAGCTGAATTAAAAGATTTCTATTTTACTTGCAGTTAGATGGGTCCCAAACCACTCCTAATAATGTAAATCCTGAGCCTGATACTGGCATTTAGTCTTTGTCTTTACTACAGGTAACTATAAGAAGAAAGAAATTTGGGAGGCTGAGGCAGGCGGATCACAAGGTCAGGAGATCGAGACCATCCTGGCTAACATGGTGAAACCCCATCTCTACTAAACAAAATACAAAAAATTAGCCGGGCGTGGTGGCATGTGCCTGTAGTCCCAACTACTCGGGAGGCTGAGGCAGGAGAATGGCGTGAACCCGGGAGGCGGAGCTTGCAGTGAGCCGAGATCACGCCACTGCACTCCAGCCTGGGCGACAGAGCGAGACTCCGTCTCAAAAAAAAGAAGAAAGAGCATTTGGGTGCTTATTATTAGATTTATTATGTACACCTTTAGGAAAAATAAAAGCATTCAAAAGTTCCACACATTATTATGATCCAAACATGGTATGAATCTTTTTAGCACCCAATTTTAAGGATTTTCTACAAAGACCGCAGTGGAAACTATTGTGTACAGATCATTATAATATAATTAATGGCAAATTTTTTAAGGAATATGATATTTTCAGAGCACAGAAAAACACTTAGCATCTGCTTTTGCCTTCCCTGCACCACAGGCATGGGGAATAAGGTCACATGCATATTTCAGAGCTATAGACATTTCATGTTTTCTAATTCTTGGGTTTCCAAAATAGCTCTCAAGTTTCTTCAAAGGTTTAGTTCACAAAACAGAGCTAAAATGTAATGAGAAAAGGCTGAAAGAAAACCTCTAACCCAGGGACATCAGGTGGCGTTTGAGAAGCATTTTAATGACAAAGCTGAAATCCGCATCTGTTAGCACCTTTCATAACGCCCCCTGGACAATGCACTGAATCCATTTAACTCTTGGCATCTGAGAACAAGGGATTCTCCGGGTCCAGCAACTGTTCAATGCACCCAACATAAGCCATGGAATGGCTCAGAGGGGGTAAAAACAAAACAAAATAAGCCAAAATGAAACTTCTCTCTGCTTGTCCTGCCCTGAAGGGAAAGATAACTTAATCCACGCTGGTTAAATCACAAGTGAACCATGGGTAAGGGCCCCGGGTCAATCCAGGACAAGAGAATGACATCTGTTAATGTTTGGGGATGGGATTGTTCCCTGGGCACTTTTAGAAACAATGCCAGCTCTGAAATGCTGCTGGTCACTTTTTCCCTTCAGATGTAAACCTCATTCTTCGAACTTTAATAGCAACCAAATCTCATGCACCACAGTTAACATGGCAACATATCCATTTCGTGCCTTTGCCTTGGAGAATCTTTTTTTTTTTTTTTAAGTGCAAAAGTTTCTCTACCAAGATAAGATAGAACAGATTGAAAAGTACATATGGTAAGTTAATTCAGGTATTGGATGGCCTGAGGCTTAACATTACATCTTCTCAAACCTGGTCAGTTTGGCAAATCTTCATTCTCAATTGGCTTACTGCTATACAGAGAAATCCCGGTAATCCTGAAGGACGTAAATAGTTTTCTTTTAACCATAATAAAACATCTATGAGTACCTCTGTAGGGAAAATAAACCGAGAGAATATTGTAGAACACTGCGGTTTAGACATTTCCCCGACTCCTCTAGTTTTGCTTTCAGCTCACATTTTTTTCTTTCTTAAGTTTTTTCCTCTGTTTAATTGACATATAATAATTATACAAATTTATGGGATACATAGTGTTTCAATTCATATAATGTGTAGTGATCATAACAGGGTAATTAGCATATCCATCATCTTTAATATTTATCATTTCTTTGTGTTAGGAACATTCAATATCCTCCTTCCAGCTATTTGAAACTATATATTATTGTTAACTCTAGTCATCCTACAGTGCTATAGAACACTAGAACTAATTCCTCCTAGCTAGCTGTCATTTTGCCACTTTAGCAAATGGCTCCCTTTCCCTCCCTTCCCCCTACCCTTCCCAGCCTCCAGTATTCTCTGTTCTACTTTTTGCTTCTATGAGATCAGCTTTTCTTAGCTTCCACCTATGACCAGCAGCTGACATTTTTTGAGGGCCTAATACATACCAGACATTCAGAATACAAAGATGAGCAAAAGCTCACCCACAGGTGGGAGACAAACACATCAAGAAACAGTGACAATCCATGTAACTATTGAAAACAGAGAATCAGAAGAAAGGGAAGCTAACTTAGCCAGGCTAAGGAGGCATAATTAGGAAAGGTTCATGGAGTGGGTATCCTTTGACCTTTGTGAATTAAACGAGAATTCACCAGGTGGAAAGTGGTGTTAAGTGGAGGGGCCAGAAAAAAGAGTGGGGAGTACATTATCAACTGAAGAAGACAAATGAACATTATCTCAAACCCTAACTCTAATTGATTGGGAGTGCCTTCTCAAAGTGTGGCAATGACAAAGTCTACGAAGCTATGTGGCAGGCATTACCCAAGTGCCACCATCATCCAACCCATCCTTCACTAAGTCCAACTCACCCCTGAGCTCAATTCTGGGCTCTGTGGACAGTTCTTTTGCCTTAGGGTAGCTTCCTGTTTCCACCACGTGCAACTCTCTGCTCTTCTGGCTAAGGATTTTCTGATTCCTTGGAAACCCAAGGGCAAGGCAGCCTGCAAGTACTAAGGATTTAATGCTTCCAGAGGAAAACTTTATCCAGTGAAGAAATGGGAATCACTGGGAAAATAAGCAAGCGTCCCCTTCCTTCATGGGCATTGTTCTCAGGTGCATCCTATACAAGGATCGCAGGATCCCCAGTGGGATTGAACCCATTTGTCTATAGCAGTAACTCATTCATCAACATATTGACTTCTGTCTTCCCTGTCTCATTTTCCTCACTCATTTAAACTTCCGGGAATCACCTTTCAAACACTACGCATTAGATATCTATTGCAATGTAACAAATTATCTTCAAATTTAGCAGCTTAAAACAATATACATTTATAACCTCTTGTAGTTTCTATAGGTCAGGAAATTAGGAGAAGCTTGGCTGAGAGGCTCTGGTTCTAGGACCCTCATGAGGTTGCCATCAGTTAAAGGCATGATTAGGGCTGACAGATCTACTTCCAAGATGGTTCACTCAGGTGACTGGTAAGTTGGTATTGGCTGTTAGCAGTTGGCCTTACCATGTGAGTTTCTCCACAGGGTTGCTTAAGGGTCTTCCTGACATGGCAACTGGCTTCCCCCAGAGGACACGATCCACAAGAGCAAGGCAGTAGTCATGATATCTTTTATGACTTAGCCTTGGAAGTCACACACAGTCATTTCTGCAGGACTCTATTGGTCAAACAGGCCAGCCTCATACAATATGGGATGGAACCATACAAGGGTATGGATACACGAGAGAGGCTAGGATCATTGGGGAAGATCTTGGAGGCTGGCTATCATACTTTGTCTTAGGGTTCAGCATGAAAGTTTGTCCTGTTTCATTCATGATGTCCACCATGCATGGGACATGAGGGTGCTGCCATGCATGCTAGCATGCTGAGGGTCTATTTCCCTGAAATTTCTGGATTTAATTCCCAAAACTTTCAGAGATTAAGTAGATTCTGTCCAAGACCTAAAAACTCACTTCCATTTTGGATGTAACTCTTCCAAAATTAAGCCAGTCCCAACTTCCTACTAATTTATTCTTTTAGGAGTCATGTCACTGAGAAGGACTGGGACAATACCTTTCCACTTTATTTGGAAACATTTTCAGATCCTTCAATTGTTTTTTAACAATGCCAGGCTGCTTCCATCACTAATATAAGTACAAAATCCTAAAGACATGGTTCCTTCTAATTTCTAATTTATATGCATTCTTTTGCAAAACTAGTCACTAGGAAATGGCAACAGAAAACCTAAATTACCCTTCAATATTACCATATTCATACCCACATGGGAATTCCACAGTATAAATCAGATCTAAATAAACAAGTTCTGCCCCCAGATTGCATAAGATGTATAAATGACATCAGGTAATTCAGTTTGCAGATGACAGTTCAAAGCCTTCCTCTTTGCCTTCTTGTTACAAACCTATGATAAATATGTCCAAAGTAGAAAAATTGTCAAGTGGCCAAAAGAGGTTCACCAAGGGGAAGAGTTTTGCTTGATCTATGTTTCAACCTCTCCCCGAAATAACTTGTCAATCCATAAGATGAATAATATCCTTAGTTTGCTTCCATGGAACATTTAAATGACAATCCAATTTTACAATTACATTTCCTCAGGTGTACCACCTTGGTTATATCAAGATTATATAAGCATGCAAGATTTAAGTTAGTAAATGCAGAGCAAAACATAAATATTTATGCCTATGAACACACTAAAAACAAAAATCATGAAACTCCAACTTGAAATTTCTTGTGTGCCTCCTTTTCAGTGATGAAAATACAAAAATTAGCTGGGCGTGGTGATATACACCTGTAGTCCCAGCTACTTGGGAGGCTGAGGCAGGACAACCGCTTGAACCCAGGAGGTGGAGGTTGCAATGAGCCGAGATCACACCACTGCACTCCGGCCTGGTGACAGAGCAAGACTCCATCTCAAAAAAAAAAAAAAAAAGAAATCTTGGCAGGATACTATCTTTTCATAATGTATTCTTAGGTCCAGGGGGATAGAAATAAAACATTAGCATTAGAATGTTAGAATAAAATGTGTGCATTAAATAAACAAAGATGTTTACCTGGAAAGGAACAGACTAGACCAACAAAAACCTCAACAGAATTGTTCAGGTTTAAAGCCATCTCCATTGCCAAAAGGCTCAATCTTTTGTTGATTGTCATCTTTTATTGTGACATTAGCTAGAAGAGTCAGAGGGGTTTGTGTGTGTGTGTTTGGTGGTGGCGGTGGGGGCGGGGGGTAGGTTGTTGTTTTTTACAAGGAGAGATCAATCTCTTTTTAACCATTCTCCATCTTAAGAAAAAAAGATTGCTTAAACTCTGAGAGGTATAGGATTTATTTAGGATGCCAGGGAGACAGATTTTAACTCGCTTAATCACAGTGAAATCTCACAATCTAAAATAATTACCAGTACTTGGCAGACAAACTATTATCTGTTGTAGATAATCAGTAGAGAGAACCAGGCTAGATGGTTAAGAATCTAAGACAGGCTTTTTGTTGTTGATCAAGAGGAGAATCATCAGGCCTGAATTATTCTCCCTAACTTCTTCTTTTTTTCTCTGCCAACCCAAGCTCAAAGTGAAATTACCACAGTATTTGTCTATATTTGTAGGTGAATCCCATCTCCATATGGTGTCTGTGAAGAAGTCTATTTATTTATCTAGATTATAACAGTGATATGTGATTAATATATTTTGTTTAATATATGTTTTCTGTGTGGCAAAAGAGTCTTGCTTTTTAAAAAATAAAAGAAATGGCCAGGTGCAGTGGCTCACGCCTGTAATCCCAGCACTTTGGGGGGCCAAGACAGGCGGATCATCTGAGGTCAAAAATTCCAGACCAGCCTGGCCAACATGGCGAAACCCTGTCTCTACTAAAAATACAAAAATTAGCCAGGTGTGGTGGCGGGTGCCTGTAATCTCAGCTACTCAGGAGTCTGAGGCAGGATAATAGCTTGAACCCAGGAGGCCAAGGCTGCAGGGAGCTGAGATCGTGCCACTGCACTCCAGCCTGGGCGACAGAGCGAGACTCTGCCTCAAAATAAATAAATAAACAAATAAATAAAATAACATAAAACAAAAAAGTAGTGAGTTCTGCTGAGTCATTCATCCACAAAGTCCTGAGAACAGCAATTGAGAACAGCTGGGGGAATGCCTTCATCTTTTTTTTTTTTTTTTCATTTAATAACGGCTTTGTTGAGATATAATGCACATACCATAAAATCCATCTTGTTAAAGTATACAATTCTGTGTTTTCAGCATATTCACAAAGGTGTGCAACATCACCACTATCTAATTCCAGAATATTGTCATTATCCCAAAAAGAATCCCCATGCCTGTTAGCAGCCATTCCCCACCTCCTCCTTCATCCAGCCCCTAGCAACAACTAACCCATCTCTGTCTCTATAAATTAGCCGATTCTGGACAATTCATATAAATGGAATGCTACAATATGCAGCCTTTTATGAAGGACTCCTTTCCCTTATTCAAGGTTCATCCATGTTGTAGAAGATAGAAGTATTTACTTCTTTGTTTGGCTAAGTAATACTATTGTATGTTCATACCATATTTTGTGTATCCATTCATCAATTGAGGGACATTTGTGTTGTTTCCACCTTTTGGCTGTTATTAATTCTATGAACATTCATGCAAAAGTTTTTATGTGAACATATGTTTTTAATTCTTTAGGGTCTATACCTAAAGTTGGAATTTCTGGGTCATATGGTACCTCTATCTTGAATTTGTGAGGAACTTCCAAACTGTCCTCAAAATGGTTGTACCATTTTGCATTCCCACCAGCAATGTATGAGAGTTCCAATTTCTCCACATCCTCACAACACTTGTTATTTTTGTCTTTTTGATATAGCCATCCTAATAAATGTGAAATGATATCTCATGTGGCATTGACGTACATTTCCCTAATGAATAATGATGTGGAACATCTTTTAATGTGCTTATTGGCTATTTATATATCGTTTTTGGAGGAAGATCTATTCAAATCCTTTTTCCATTTTTAAATTAGATGTTTCTTTTTATTGTTGAGTTGTAAAAAGTTCTTTAAATATTCTAGATACTAGACCCTTATCACATATGTGATTTGAAAATATATTCTCCATTATCTGGGTTGTCTTTTAATTTTATTGATGGTGTCCTTTGAAGCATAAAAGTTTTTAATTTTGATGGCATCCAATTTCTTTTTCTGTTGCTTATGCCATTGGTGTTATTTCTAAGAAACCATATCTAATCCAATGTCACAAAAAATTAATTTTGGTTCTTACATTTAAATTTATGATCTGTTGCAAATTAATTTTTGTATATCATGTGAAGTAGGGAGAACAACTTCATTCTATTGCATGTGGGTATCCAGTTGTCTCAGCATCATTTGATGAAAAGACTGCTTTTCTTATTAAATTGGCACTCTTGGCAAAAATCAATTAATTATAAATGCTAGGGTTTTTTCCTAGGCTTTTAATTCTACATTATTCATGTACTTGTCTTGTTTGTCTATCTTTATGGCAGTACTATATCATCTCGATTAATATAAATTCATAGGAAGATTCGAAATCAGAAAGTGCAAAGCCTACAACTTCATTCTGCTTTTTCAAGATTGGTTTGGTTATTCTGGGCCCCTTGCATTTCCACATGAACTTCAGGATTTGCTTTTCCATTTATGCAAAGAAGGGCAGCTTGGATTTGAAAGAGACTGCATTGAATATGTAGACCAATTTGGGGAGTATTGCCATTTTAACAGTATTAATTCTTACAATCTATAAACATGGAATGTCTTCCCACTTATTTAGGTATTTCTTAACTTCACTGAAATGGTTTTTAGTTTTCAGTGCCAAATCTCACAATTCTTTTGTGAAATTTATTCCTCCTAAGTATTTTATTCCTTTTTGTGCTATTGTAGAGAGAATTTCTTTCTTGATTTCATTTTCAATTTGTCCATTGCTGGTGTATATAACTGAGTTTTGTGTATTGATCTTGTGTCCTGCAACTTTACTGAACTTCTTTATTAACTCCAATAATTCTTTTGTGGATTCACTATGATTTTTTATATAGAATTTCTGTGGCTTTTTAGAGTCCCAGGAATATGTCAGAGCCCTTCAAAGACCCCTGCAAATGTCTCATTCCTCAGTTTTTCCATTTAAGTTTCTTGGTCAACCTCTCGTTAGCCCCAACTGGTAATGGCACCTCAGACAGCTGTAATATTAAACATTTGCTGCCAATTGTTTTCAACAAGTATCTTGAAGATAACACTATTCATACAGAGTGAGTTCTGAATCAAGTCAAATAAACACAAGCCCTGAGAATGGAGCTTTTCAGCAAGCTTTCAGACAAGCCAAATAGTGGAAATTCTCTGGGGATCAGGCTTTAGGAAAACTCCAAACCTATTTTTTCCCTTCCAGTGGCTGATAGGCTACTGGTTTTCACAGCAATCATAACTGTAATCCTGATGGTTTTCAAGGCTACTATGGCTGGGGAAGAGGAAAGAATTATAAATTTTAAAGTGCTATAAATCTAATTGTTCTTACAAAGTTTCAATTATTTTTCTTAAATAAACACTCCTCAGATTGTTGTAAGCCTTTAGTTATTTCTAGAGTTCTTCAAAAGTTGATTTTGACAGGTTTTTTGTTGGTTTGGTTGGTTGGTTTTATTTGTTTATTTGTTTGTTTGCAAGTGTTCTTATTTCTTCATTTCTTTT